>NC_000015.10:91895823-92047338 GCF_000001405.40 Homo sapiens
TTTCCATTTTTATTATGTTCTTCACTTCTAATAAATGCAAATCTTCTCTTCAGAGCCCACACAGATTTTTCAAAACTAGGCAGTGTCAAGGACAATGAACTGTGTAGACCCAGCCTTACTCAAAACTACCAGTGTCCTTTCTTGTTTTCCAGTAGGAAGCTATTCAGTTAAAAGCACTCAACCTGTTTGTCATTTTGCTCCTCTAAAGAAGCCTAAATCCTTCAGTTCTCAATGTTTGTGTCTCCTATTTGTTTCTCTTCCATTTTCGCAATTACAGCTAACTCCAGAGATAAAACAGGCATGGTTTAAGAGTCCTTAATGAAATATCTGCAGTTCATAATATGGTTGTAGAATTAAAGCAGGGCCTTTTCCTGTGTTGGAAGAAATGCTCCCGGCATAAGCATATGCACCTCTCTATCCTCTAACTCTGGAAACCAGCATGTTACATCCTGGATGAGGACTCAGAGTGATGGCCCCATCACAAAGCTGAAAAAACTTTTCTTTATCTGCCAAAAAAATAAAAGTCAGATCCATGGTGCAGTCACGATTGCTTCTCTGAGGTAGGACTCCAGGTAGAAATGACACTTGGAGGTTGATAGGTTTGGTTGTGTCCCCATCCAAATCTCATCTTGAATTGTAGCTCCATAATCCCCAGATGTTGTGGGAGGGACCCAGTGGGAGGTAATTGACTCATGGGGGTGGGTTTTCCCGTGCTGTTCTCGTGATAGTGAATAAGTCTCATGAGATCTGATGGTTTTATAAAGGGCAAATCTTCTGTGCACACTGTCTTGCCTGCTGCCATGTAAGACATGCCTTTGCTTCTCTGCCACCTTCCACCATGATTGTGAGGCCTCCCCAGCCATGTGGAACTGTGAGTCCATTAAACCTCTTTTTCTTTACGAATTACCCAGTCTCAGGTATGTCTTTATTAGCAGTGTGAGAACAGACTAATACAGAGGTGCTTTTTCTGGAGGGACACTCTGATTAGTGTGAATAAAGGTGAGTCTTATGTAAGATGTTTATCATCAGGACATGCTGTATCTTGTAAGAAAATAATCCAAATGGTACTTAGAATATGTCTCATTGATACCAGCCTTGATGCTGAGGAGAGGTATTGTGGGCTTTTAGGAGCCAGACAGTCCTGGGTGAAACCTGTCTCTGCCCCTTGTAGCTCTGTGATTTTAGGAACGATATGTCACTTTTGTGATCTTTAGTTGCCTCTAGAAAATGGAGATGATAATGCCATTTTAGCAGCTGGAAAGTTGTGAGAAATCAAAGTAACCGTAAGATAAGTTCCTACCACACTATTTGCCATTGTCTATACAATTGTTGCTTTTAAAATAAAGACAGGCTGGATGCGGTGGTGCACGCCTGTAATCCCAGTACTTTGAGAGGCTGAGGTGGGCAGATCAGGAGTTCAAGACCAGCCTGGCCAACATGGTGGCCAGTTTAGTAGAGATGGGGATCTCTACTAAAAATTAGCTGGGCATGGTGGCGGGCACCTATAATCCCAGCTACTCAGGAGGCTGAGGCACGAGAATTGCTTGAACCCAGGAGGCAGAGGTTGCAGTGAGCCAAGATTGTGCCACTGCACTCCAGCCTGGGCAATGGAGCGAGACTCTGTCTAAAAACAAACAAACAAACAAACCCCCAAAACTTATAAAGCTGGATGTTCCAACTAATGTCCTATCCTGGTTTTTAAATTTCTTTGGATCAAAATAAAAAACTCAACAGGCTTCTTCTGATTTCTGACAGTTTCTTTTGTGCTGGTGCCTTTGACTATCTCAAAACGTGGCTGCAGGTGTTTTCCCTAGCTGATGAAATGCTGGGACTGTCCTCTTGATAAAGTTAGTCTCCCTGGACAGTGGCGGCAGAGTGGATTGGTGTGCTCCCATGTGCTAGGCTGAGTCTACCCTGCAGCGTGGGCTCCAGCAGCAGTGTGTTAAGGGCAGTGTTGGAACAGACTGTTCTCTCTATTTTCTGACCTGCTCAGGCATCCTGCAATGGATGACATGTGAGCATGAGGATGGGTGCGGGAGGCGAAAGGCAGCTGAAACTGCAGGGCAGAGCCAGGCGAAGTTGAGAACAAGAAGGAATCGCTGCTCTACACACACGGGGTTTTTAAATTAGAAAGATATCATGAGATGCAGAAAGCAGGTGCTCATGGTTTGTTTCTGTTGTTCTTGGCTTGCGTTAAGGTGCCTCTCTCGACACGGTTTTCTAAGTGTGAAGTTGGAGCTAGTGTGACCCAGTTAACATTATAGGGCTCTGTCATTTCTGGGGATGCATCTGGTGACCATCCATCATGTACCAAACACCTGCCTAAGAACAGAGCCGTGTGCCTGTGTCACTGGTGCACACAGCAACATGCTCTAAGCTTGTCGATCCCCAGTTAGGCAATAACCACTTTCTCACTGAGGTAAAGAAGGCCTTGTCCTGTAACTGGAGAGACAATGCCTCTATTCTAGACGCTTGAGATCACAGTCTTTCCAGAGAGTGCATTTCCTTTTACATTTGCTAATATTTCTAATACTGTATTAGACTTGCTTGTCTATGCAATTTCCCCAAACAATGTGTCTCTCTTGGCTTTCAGCTTTTATTAGACACAAACATCTCATTTCTGTAATTGTTCTCCTGTCAGGCCTGGCTCCATTATTATCTGGCCTCCAGAGCAATTTGAGTCTCTTCTGGAGGGCTGAGAAGGCTGCACTCCCTTCCTCATTTCCAGTGGATCTGGGAAAACTCAGCTAAAGGAATTTAACATTTCGATCCGCAAGATACTAACATCATCCTCAGTGGGTTGACATCTTCTTCTTCCCTTAACTGTGAGACTCCAGAGCATGCATTTTGGATGGAGTTGATATCACTTCTAGTGGAGGGAAAATTACTTCTGGGTGGGGGAGGGAGGCAAAAACTTACTCTTTTTATGTATAAAGCAAAATATACATATTATGAATATATAGAGAGATTTACATTTTATTGGTAGTATTAAAATTTCATGGGGGGACAATTAGGAAGAAATGTCTAAAAAGGTTCTTGGAGGTGATAATGAAGAGAGGTTAAAAAACTGCTGCGAATTTTATTCTTCGTGGCTCCTATCACCCAGTCACAACAAATAATGCGTAAAATGAAACTCTTTAGTTCTGTCTTTGGGATGAAGAGTGGCCAAGTGCCATATGGGAAGGAGGGAAGGGCTGGTGTGTTCCCAAGTGAAGAGCAATTCAAAACTCCTTGGAGAGAGTCATCAATGAGGTTTAAACAGCATTGGAATCTCCCAGAGGGTTTCAACATACCAACTCCTGGGTTCTGCAAATGTACCCCAGAAACATTCTGGAACTCTGGACAGCACTTGAGTGATTCCTAAATATCCAGGCCAACACAATGTCTGTAACCTCTGATGTAGAACAGGGAGAGAGAGTGACTTAGAAGGGAAGCTAGTTCAGTGTGGGGGGGATGGGGCTATTTTGCAGGCGTTTCCCTAACTAGCTCCCTTCACCTCTGTGCTTTGGTAAACTAGACAGTACCTGGTTAGTTCACCAACTGTCCCCCTGCCTTTTCCACTTTGATGCATTTGCTTATTGAGTGGTCTCTACTTGGAGTTCCCTTTCTTTTATCATAACCTAACAACATTCTATTTACTCTATAAGATGTATGTAGTTCCAACGTGACTCCTCTTGCAGGAAGCTTTTTGTGAACCTCTCCCAGTTCTGCCCTATTTTTTCATTGCATTTACCACATTCCACCTTACATTTTGATCATTTCTGTGCATTGTCTTTTTTCCATTTTATTGGGGTATAATTTATATACCATAAAATCCGTCCATGCTAAGTATACAAGTCAATGATTTTTAACAAATTCATAAAGTTATGCAGTCATCACCACACTCAGTTTTAAAACATTCCATCCTTCCAGAAAGTTGCTGATGCCCAGTTGTGGTAAGTTCCTGCCCCATCTCCATCTTCCAGACAACCTACTTTCTTTCTCCATAGCTTTCCATTTTCTGGACATTTCATACAAACAGAATCATGCAATATATATAGTGTTTCACATTTGGCTTCTTTCAATTAGCATATCTTTTTGAGGTTAATCTACATCATAGCATGTATTAATAATAGTTTGTTCCATTTCATTGCCACTACTATTCATTGGTATTGGAATTTAGTAGATACTGTATTTATCAGATTGTGTTGGTGTTATATTTTTGGTTATATCACATTTTGTTTCTCTGTTAACCATTCATGGATGTTTGAGTTGTTCCCAATGTGATGTTATTATGAATAATTCTATTTGCTGTCAATATAAATGTGTGTTTTTAATTCTCTTAGGTAGATACCTGGGAGTAGAATTACTGGGTCATGTGGTAAATTTATGCTTAACTTTTTAAGAAGCTGTTCAACTGCTTTTCAAAGTGGCTATAACCATTTTATCTTTTATGTTCCCACTAGCAGTATCTGAGTGTTCCAGTTTCCTCAGATGGACGTGAATACTTTGTATTGTCTGTTCGTTTGTTTGTTTTTGTTTTTTGAGATGGAGTCTTGCTCTGTCACACAGGCTGGAGTGCAGTGGTGTGATCTCAGCTCACTGCAACCTCCACTTCCTGGGTTCAAGCGATTCTCCTGCCTCAGCCTCCCCAGTAGCTGGGATTACAGGTGCATGCCACTGTGCCCGGCTAATTTTTGTATTTTCAGTAGAGACGGGTTTCACCATGTTGGCCAGGCTTGTCTCAAACTGCTGACCTCAGGTGATCCGCCCGCCTTGGCCTCCCAAAGTGCTGGGATTACAGGTGTGAGCCACCGTGCCTGGCCTGTTTGTATTTTTCATTATACACATTCTACTGGGTGGGTAGTGGTATCTCATTGTGACATTTTATTTGCATTTCCCTAAAGACTAATAATGCTAAGCATCTTTTCAAATGCTTATTAGACATTTGTATATCTTCCTTGGTGAAATATCTCCTCAAATTACTTGCCTATTTTAAATTGAGTTGTTTGTCATTTTACTGTTGATTTGTAAGGTTGGTAGGTAGTTTTGTTCAAATCATCTTTATCCTTACTGATTTTCTGTCTCATTGTTTTATCAATTATTGAGAGGGATATTAACTTCTCCAAATATTATTGTTGTATTGTTTATTTCGCCTTTCATTTTGTCGATTTTTACTTCATGTATTATGGGGCTCTATTCTTAGGTTGATGTAGTTGCATTTACACCTGCCATTTTGTGATTTGTTTTATGTCTCATCTTTTTTTTGTTCCTTTGTTTCTTCTTTATTGTACTCTTTTGTGTTAATATTTTCTCATGTTTCATTTCAATTCCTTTTCCTCATGTTTTGAATTATTTTCTTAGTGATTGCATGTATGATATATGTCTTAAGTTATCACAGTGTACTTCAGATCAGTACTAAAATTCTCTAGAACATGGAAACTTTCCTCCAGTATAGCTCCATTTCATCCCCCTCCTTTGTAGTTTTGTTGTCAAACGTATTACATCTATATCTTATAAATGAAGTGTTATGGTTCTATGCAATCTAATGCCTTTTAAAGAAGTTAAGAGAAGAAGAAAAATACATTTATATAGCTTTTTGTATTTACTTACATATTTAACTTTTCTGATGTTCTTTATTAATGTATATCTTAGTGTATATTTGAGTTACTATATGGTATCGTTTCCTTTCCATCTGAAGGAATTCCTTTATTATTTTTGCAAGGAAGATTTGCTAGCAGTGAATCCCCCAAGTCTCTGTTTATCTAGGAATACCTTTATTTTGCCTTCATTTTCAAATGAAAGCTTTGCCGGATGTAGAATTCTTGGTTGACGGTTTGTTTTCTTTCAGAACTTTAAATACATTGTTTCTAATGAAAAGTCAGCTCTTAATCTTATTGAGGACCCTGGGTATGTGATGAGTTGCCATCTTTTCTTGCTGCTTTCACAATTTTCTGTGGGTCTTTGCCTTTTAACAAACTACAATGTGTCTAGGCGGGGATCTTTTTGTGTTTGTTCTTCTTTGGGGTTCTTTGAGCTTGTTGGACCTGTAGATTCTTGTATTTCACTACATTTTGGATGTTTGGGCCATTATTTCTTCAATTTTTTTTTCTGCCTCTTTCTCTTTTTTCTTTATGGGACTCTATTGCATGTATATTGGTATGCTCGGTGGTGTCCTAAAGGTCTCTGAGGCTCTGTTCATTTTTCTTCTCTGTGGTTCAGATTGCATAATTCTTAGTGATTATTTTCCAAGTTTACTGATTTACTGATTCTTTCTTCTGACATCTCATATCTGATATCAAGCTCCTTTTGTGAATTTTTTGTTTCATTTATTATACTTTTCAACTCTAGAATTTCCATTTGGTTCCTTTTTTTAAGAAAAATATTTTCTGTATCTCTTTTTTTAAGAGACAAGAGTCTCACTCACTGTGTCACCCAGGCTGTAGTGCAGTGACATGATCATAGTTCACTGAAACCTCAAACTCCTAGGCTCAAGTGATTCTCCCACCCCAGCCTCCTGAGCAGCTAGGGCTCTCTCCAGTGTGTGCTCATGGCTTTCTGGTCAACCAGAGATAATGGGGAGCGCTTAAGGATCCCTATGGCTGATCCCTGTCTTCCGTTTAAAATTCTGTTTAGTTTGCCAGTCTTTTGCTTGCCCCAACCAGCACTACTGGTTGCAGCCTCAGGGTAGCTGAGGGGGATTTCCTTGTTTATTTGCAATCAATATTGCTTTCCCTGCCACTGTTCTGCCAACCTACATGGGAGTAGGAGGGAGGGCAAGAACCAGATTCCCACTGATCTATCCAGAAGTTTTAAATGAATTAGTGCTCCTCAGTTTGTTGTATGTTTTGTCCAGAGTCTTGAAATGGTTGTTTTTGACAGTTTTATCATTGTTTTTGAGAGGATTTGCCAGGCTTCTCACACTGCCATTCTAGCCCCACTGCCTTTTTCCTTCTAGAGAGGAAAACTCATGGGGCAGATAAAGTGTGGACTCTGGCACCGGATTGCCTGGGCTTGAATCCTGACCCTGCCATTTGCAAGCTGCAAGACCTTCGGCAAATTACTAGACCTTGGACAAATGACTTAACTTTTGTGCTTCTGTATCTTCATCTGCAAATTCGAAATAATAATAGTACTTACGTAACAAGGTTGTTGTAAGAATGAAATGGATTCATCTACATAGTGATAGCAGCGGTGCTTGTTACTGCAAATGCAATATGTTAGCTCTTTTACTTGGTGCAGCAAGGGCAGGGACTGTATCTTACTTGGCACTTTAAACCTTGCCCCACCATCCTTGGTCTGGTGGCTCGCACGTAGTCAGCTCATTGGATTCTCAGATCATCTTTCTTAAGTGATGCTTGACATACGGAGGAAATGAGGACAGCTCTCAGAGTAACTGAAGATGCGAGGAGGAGGGACTGCAGGGGACCTGAGGAACAGATGGCCTGGTGCCTCGTTGAGGCCAAAGGTTGGTCAGTGTGTTTTCCCTCCTAGCTCTAGGAACTGCCCAAATTGCCTGGTGCTGCTCAGAAGCCATTGAATTTGAGATGAGGTCTGTACACTTGCATTTCCAATCCAAGAAGTTAATTAGCACAATTGCCACCATTTCAGAAGCTCTCTTGTTTCGGGCACTTCAGGAACGGACAGGACAGTGTGGCGAGGATGCTGATTTTTAGGTATTTTTGCAAAAGGGAGTGGTTGTGGGGGAGCTGTGGGAGAGCAGGGGGTCTTATGGTGTGTACTCACCAACCTCAGCTGTTTCTCACCCACACAGAGCCATCGAGCAAATGAGAGATTGGTGCCTTTTCCTCCAGTGGACACAGCTAGGGTGAACAAAGTATGGGAGGCCTTTGTGGAGGGAGGCATATGTCCTACGCAGCTGTATGCAGTGATCCTGGCTTAGCCACCACGTGTCCAGCTCTGTGCTCAGGAGCAGGGCAGCATGGCCATAAGATGGTAGCCATAGATGTGAAATCTGCTTACATGGGTTTGACTGAGGTGTACCGAGCAAATGGGGACTTTCTTATGATTCTTAACAGAAGGACTGAAGGAGGATGGCAGTGACAAGAAAGGTGATTGTTGAATTGAAGTTGTTGTTGTACATGGATGAGGATTGGGTGTGCTTGTGGAGAGGGCAGGGGTGGAGCCGGTGGAGAGGGTGAGAGTGAAGAGGAGGAAACAGGACACAGTGATGGAGAAAGGTCTTCAGGAGATGGGAAGGAGTGGGTCGGGTAGAGGGATCTGTGTTCAGCGGGAGGGAGGGCCACGCTTTTCCTGGGTGGAGGTGAGGTGCCCCACAGCACATGCCCTCACTTCCCCTTCCTCTGAAGAGGGTCCCACGTTTAGCTTCAGCAGGAAGAGGCACTGCTGTTATATCATGCACGGATGTTCACCTCTCTACTCCTGTGGTCAATTACAGGTACACCTTTTGGTATTTATTTGGGTACTTATCAGTATAGCATTTTTAGCACCTTGACCAGATACTGTGCATCCAACAAGTAGGAAACTGTTTTACTCCTGGGGGAGCGAGACCAAGTAGTGATATGTCTACTCTTCTCCTAACGCTGGGGGAGTAGAATTAAACTGGGCGTCAGGTGTGCCATTTGCAGGTGCGTGATACATTGCAAATTGCTTCATTCCTCTGGGCTTCCGGTTCCTCCTAGTAGACTGCAAGGAATGGACTAGATCATATCAACATCCAATTAGCAGTTAATATCCATTGGTCCTGTGATCAGTCACTCTGTATCTCAGATGAAGCCAGTGAGGGTGTTTTGTGCCTGAGATACACTAAAATAGGAGTAGAAGGACACACAGGTCAATCAGAGCAGCAAGCTGGCAGAGGCAGGTCGGGGAAGGTGAGTTCTTATGGTTCGTGGTTGTTTTCTTCACTGCTCTGAAACTAAAATTGGACTTTGTTATTATTCTGGAAGCTTTTTAATGCTGCATATAGGAGGATGCTATTTTGTTCTGACCTGTGTTTATTCCATACCTGCATGCACAAGCTTTGGTAATCATATTATTTTATTAGCGTATTTATGGAGGTTCATTTCCAAGAGAGGATATAATTAGGTGGAAATTGGTTATCTTGATAGTTACAATTTAACCCTACCTCTCTGATGGTTTGCTCTTGAGGAATTTACATACAATGATTTTGTACCCTGACCTGGTAGAGATGGGTTGTAAGCAGTACAGTCCTATGGAATTACAAGTAGAATTTGAAGGCCAAGAGAAAAAGAAATGAGATGCTTACGCTCATCCCTAACATTCCACATCATTGCTCTCACATGGCTGCAGGCTTGGGTCTGAGATTCCTGGGAACCAAAGCAAACAGGGAAATACAGCTATAATCACATTATTTATAGACTTTGGTTGGGTGTAGCTAAGGTGAGAGAAACAGTAGAACTAGTTCCCAGGAGAAGCAGAGCTTTTGCTAGACCTTAATTTTAAAAATATCTCATATCTGCCTTAAACCAATGTTTCTGATAGTGTATATAGCTATCCCTTGGGATCTGTGGGATATCCAGAGCCCTCTGCAGATACCAAAATCTGAAGAAGCTCAAGTCAGTCAAAGAACATAGTATAGCATTGGACTTTAACTTATGCAATCCTCTCATACACTTTAAATCTTCTCTAGATTTCTTGTGATACCTAATGCAGTATAAATGGTTCTTATACTATTGGTTTTTAATTTAGTTATTTTGATTGCTGTGTTGTTATTTTTTTTATTTTTTTCCGGATATTTTGGATCCATGGTCGATCGAATCCCTGGATGGACCTGTGGAAATGGATGGCAGCCTGTATATATGTTTTCAAGGGATGCTTAGTTTTTTGTTTTTTTTTTAAGTTACGTGGTCAAGGGAGTTTCAGGAAATGCTACATAATATATATTTTGATGGATTTTTGACAGTAAATGTTACCATTTGGAAAACTTATAAAAGTCTTGTAAAGAAAACTATTTCTCTTTGTTCAACCCAGAGTTTTAAAAATTTCATATGACCTCAGAACTCTTTTTCCTCCTTATATAACTTTTAACAATAAGTAAACTTATCGTTATTTTTAGGGCAAGTTTGGTCACCAATTTGCTTGTGGCTGCCCCTGCTTAGCTGATAGGCCCATTAGCCTTCACCCCCAAGTCGGGCCACCTTGCTGACGCAGGGGCACAGTGCTTGGTCACTTGGGTGCTATGGGACCAGTGGGGTTGGGCGTCAATCCTGGCTCTGCACCTTAGCTGCGTGGCATCAATGGGATAGTTATCTTCTCTGGGCTCAGGTTCCTCATCTGTAGAATGGGATAGTAATATTTCTGCCTCATGGAATCATAGTGGAGAGTAAGTGTGTCAGAATACGTAAAGCGCTCCATACTGGACTTGGCATAAGTAATAACAAATGTTCAACATGATTGTATTTAATGATACCCCCATTCCAGAGCTTGCTAGACACTTGTCTCCTCAGTTACTAGGGGCTAACTAACTATGTGCTATTTCTTTGGGTACTGATTGTGTGTTTTTCTTTATTCCGGTAGAGAGAAACTTTATTCATCCTTTATGATAATTCCCTGTTTTCATAGTTGTTGTCTCCATGATACTGTGAGCTGGTTGAGGGCAGAGACCAGGTCTTATCGAACTTTGCCTATCCAGCCCCTGGCATGGTACAGCTTTGCAATAAAGGATTTTCAATGCATTTGACAGGAAGCCGGGGCCCTAGGGCATATAAAGAAGCCCAATTCAGTGAAAACAGTTCTGCATATAGCAGCGTGTGTGTGTGCATAAATCAAATGAGGGCCTTAGACTAAGATCTCTGTCTTGAGAATATGTCTGGTCCTCTGTACATTTTTGTTGAATGCTGAGGAAATCATTGAAATCATTATTCTTAAAATTTCTCTAATAAAAGAGCCCTGGCACCACAGAAGTTGGTGTGTTAAAGGTGTGAAACACAAACTATTAATAATAGTCTGATGCAAAAATATCTGGAAATGAATTGAAAGCTCCGATCCTGAGTGGTAGAAAATTCTATTAGTTGACTGTACCCAGGAGGGATGGAGAGTCTTTATTTTTCTATGATGGACCAAAGAGCTACAGAGAAAAATCAATGATGAGATTTATGAGTAGGAAGCAATTAAATTGAGTGTTTTTTTTTTTTTAAAGAGACAATCATGAAATGTTACATACCCTCAGAATGAATCAATGAACATAAAAATTCACTAAATGTAAGGAATAATAACATTTGCCTCAGTTTTACTTTAGGGCCATTTAGAGGAAAGAGTGGAAGAAAAGGGAGATGAGAGAAACTAAGAAATGGAGTATAGAGGAAACAGTAGCCTGAGGAAGGTGCAAATAGTGAAGTAGAGAAAAATGCAGGCGATGGCAGAGACGGAGTCTTAAAGGACAGACCAAGGAGGCCTTTCTTTTTCTGTTGTTTTCTTTGAGATGGAGTCTCACTCTGTTGCCCAGGCTGGAGTGCACTGGTGCGATCTCAGCTCACTGCACCTCTGCCACTGGGGTTCAAGCAATTCTCCTGCCTCAGCCTCCCGAGTAGCTGGGATTACAGGCACCCGCCACCAAGCCTGGCTAATTTTTGTATTTTTAGTAGAGATGGGGTTTCACCATGTTGTCCAGGCTGGTCTTGAACTGCTGACCTCAGGTGATTCTCCCACCTTGGCCTCCCAAAGTGCTAGGATTACAGGCATGAGCCACTGTGCCTGGCCCAAGGAGGCCTTTCTTTTTTTTCTATTTTTCTTTTTTGAGACAGAGTCTCACTCTGTCACCCAGGCTGGAGTGCAGTGGCATGATCTTGGCTCACTGCAGCCTTTGCCTCCCAGGCAGATTCTCCTGCCTCAGCCTCCTGAGTAGCTGGGATTACAAGCATGTGCCACCATGCCCAGCTAATTTTGTTTTTTACACTTTTAGTAGAGACGGGGTTTCACCATATTGGTCAGGCTGGTCTTGAACTCCTGACCTCAGGTGATCCACCCGTCTCGGCCTCCCAAAGTGCTGGGATTACAGGCGTGAGTCACCGTGCCCAGCTCCAATGAAGCCTTTCTAAGGAAAGCCAGGCCGACTCTCACTCGCAGACTAGGTGATCAGAGAGAACGATAGTGCCCCTATGAAAGACCCAGGTGTAGAGAGGGCAGTACAGAGGCCCAGAGAGAGAGAGCCAGCAGCTTTCATGATCCTGCTGCAAGGACGAGGAAAGCCACCACGCACAACCCCAGGCATAACTGTGACGTGCAGGTGTGCAGAGCCTTTCTCTCCCTCATTTGGACCCTGTGACAAAACTGTAAGGGGGGATTGTTATCTCCATGTTATAGAAGGGAAAGGAGAGTTGCAGGGGTGTTAAGTGCCTTGTCTCATATTACCCAGTTAATATGAAACTCAAAATCTCACACATTTTCCACTGTAATCCCCACCCCCACAACTTGCCCCCTAAAATGATGATGCTTTTGGTGTAGACTGGAGTTTAGAGTCTGTGTCTATGAGATTCTCCATATGATTCTTACTCTGCTTTTTAAAGAAAAATGGTTTTAAAATGGCCCCCATTTATATGTGAACATGATCCAAGCTAAATCATTCCACCAGAAATAAAACCTCATTGACTAAATGTCTCTTTTCCCTAGTCAGCACATGAGGTGGGTGTTCTCTTTGCCACCATAGCCATGACAAGAGGCTGATCCTGTGTCGTCTTCTGTTACTTGGTTCTGCAGATCTAGGATCCTGGAATTCACAAGTGAATGCATTTTGTGTGCCATTTCCCTAGAACTGTAAATGACTCACCCCAAGGAGCTGCTGTCTAGATGAGAAACAAAACCTCACACTATTGCTGCTGCTGCTTCATCATGGGGAAATGACTTCTGGGCTTAGGTGATTAAGTCTCTTTCTACCACTTTACTACAGGAAGACATGTCCTTGGCACATCAGACAGAACACTGAAGTTATCTTGCAAATTACTTTAATGGAATTAAAAAAAAAAAAAAAAAACTTGGCCGGGCACGGTGGCTCACGCCTGTAATCCCAGCACTTTGGGAGGCCGAGGTGGGCGGATCACCAGAGGTTAGGAGTTCAAGACCAGCCTGGCCAACATGGTGAAACCCCATCTCTACTAAAAATACAAAAATTAGCTGGGCGTGGTGGCGGGTGCCTGTAATCCCAGCTACTCAGGAGGCTGAGGCAGGAGAATTGCTTGAATCTGGGAGACAGAGGTTGCAGTGAGCCGAGGTCGCGCCATTGCACTCCAGCCTGCGCAACAGAGCGCGACTCTGTCTCAAACAAAACAAAACAAAACAAACAAACAAAGAAACCCAAAAAGCTTGCATTAAAATTGTGCCTGGAATGACTTTTCTGTTACAGCAACAGGAGTGCTTCATATACTTACCAATGGCCAGTGTTTGTATTGCCAGGCACGGGAATAGTGTGATTTCCCATGCTGAATTTATAGAGATCAGGGGTTTGGCATTCTACATGTGGCCTATGGACCAAATGTGGCCTGCTGCCTGTTTTTGTAAATAAAGTTTTATTGAAACACAGCCATTTCCATTTGTTCATATATTGTCCATGCATGCTGCTTTTGTGTTATGGTGGTAGAGTTGAGTAGCTGCTATGATGACCATATGGCCTAAATATCTACTGACTGGCTTTTTACAGAGAAAGTATGCCAGACCCTGTTCAGGAACCCCTGTTGGGAAAACCACAGGTTTTTGCAGGACCACAGCGAGATTGACATCTCCTGCACTGTTTTTAGCATCTGCTCCCTGACATGGGCCCTGCTGCTGAGTGTGCAGTTTGAGGGTATAGGTTCCCCGAAGCTCCCCAGGAAGAGCCTGCTCAGTTCTGTCACATCTGCCACTACTCAGCAGAAGGACTTTAAAATGCAGGCTCTCCACACTGCACTCCCGGGCTCCTCCCAGCCTCATAGAGCATCCTGCTCTCACCCTTCACAAGCGCTCCAGACTGAGCCAGGTGAGACTCTCGCAGGGACCTTTCGGCTCCACCTTGTTTGTTCCATGCCTCCAATCAGCTGCTGCCTCTGTTGAGCTGGATCTCTAAGGTGGCTCTGCCACAGGGGCCTTTCCTTGCTGTTACACCAGCATTAGCCTGCTGAAGCCTCCTCTCTCCCCAGCACTGTGGAAACAGCTGCCCCGGCCGTCTCTCCTCCCTGATACCTGCACAGCAGTGCCAGGTTAATACTGCAGAAGAGCGGCTCCTGCTCAAGAACCTCCCTTCGCTCCCCATTGACCTCTAAATCAAAGCCTCAGTCTGGCCTTCAAGGTTGTTTTTATCTCAGACGACTACTCACAGTTCTCTGAAGCCACTCCATATTCCTGCCTTTCCCCAGGGGTGGTCTAAACTCTCCCTCTGCCAGCCTCCTTGACGCCACTGATCTTTGCTCTTGGAATGTTGTGGCAGCCTCTCCCCTCCCACAGCTATTAAAATCTAATTGATCTTTGTTGCATCCCAGGTATATATTCCTCCACACACAGCCAAATGAATGTTGTTGCTCCCTCAAACCCTCTGCCACTCTGTTACCCTGTTGCAGGCTGTACCATTGTTAGATTGTTTCTTTCTGCTGTCCCCAGACTGTAAACTCCTACAAGGCAGCATGCTCTCTTAATCATGGTTATGTTTCTTGCATCTATCACAGAGCAGGCACTTGGCTGTGTGGGACTGAATTTGAAGTGAAGTCACAGAGCATGCACACCAGTGATGTGGCTAGCTTTTTAGTGTGCACCTACTGTGGGCCAGCTGCTCTGATGTATGACTTCATTAATGTCCGCAGAAGCAAGTATTGTTCTCTCCACCACACAGGTGTGGAAACAGGCTCAGGAAGATTGACTTGACCAAATGCTGTCAAAGCCAGATGGGAACTCGAGGCTCTCCTGCTCCAGACTTACACTGATAGGACCAGGCTGCTCTGGTGTAAACATCCATGCATGCACAACCTCTCTGCCACCTGATACACATGCACACGCCTCTACCTGCATGCATGTTAGAGTCACCCAGGGAACTCTGAAAATACAGATGCCCAGTCTTGCAGGTGGGAGGACACGCACAGGTGTTTTTCAAAAGCTCAGGTGATGCCAGTTCAGGCCAAGGCCCCGCCACCCAGACCAGAGTGAGAAGATGGACACACCTCTGGGAGAGCCCCTGAGTTGCTGCTGCCTGCCCCTAAGAATAAGTGTTTTTTTGTTAAGTGAATGCCTGATAACCTTGCCCCTGGTTGGCACCTTTTGAAGGTGAGGATGGGCTCATGAATACTTGGCCGTGGCCTCTGAATGTGTCCTGTCCTATGGCAACATAGACTGAAGCTCTCCCTTTTGGGCTAAGTGCTGATAGTTTCAGTTGGCCTTAGTGTGACTTCAGCACTTTCCAGAAGGTGAGGCTCCCAGAAATGCATCCCAACATTTCCCACATGAGGAGACAGTGTCTCTATGAACTGGAAATGAGGAGGCGATAATTTCAATTTGTAGATAACTTAAACTCTTTCATCTTTTGAATGGGGGAAGGCTAGTTGAGAAGAGGAAGCTGAGTAAAGCAGAGGTACTCAAAGTGGGGTCCTCTGATGAGCAGCATCAGTGTCACCAGGTAGCTTGTTAGAAACGCATAGTCTAGACCCCACCCCAGACCTGCAAAATCAAAGACTCTGGGCTTGGGGTTCAGCAGTCTCACACTCTCTGGGGGTAATTTTACTGCCAATGAAGGTTGAGAACCTTGGTTCTAGAATGATGGTGAGTATGTGCCTGGTGCCTGAATGGTCAGTGGTCCTCATCTCCAGCTGGGTATCAGACGCATATCTATATCTATCTATATATATACGTATCTATATCTATATAGATATTTAGATTTTTTTTTTGAGACGGAGTCTTGCTTTGTCACCAAGGCTGGAGTGCAGTGGCGCAGTCTTGGCTCACTGCAACCTCTGCCTCCCGGGTTCAAGCAGTTCTCCTGCCTCAGCCTCCAGAGGAGCTGGGACTACAGGCATGTGCCACCACGTCCAGCTAATTTTTGTATTTTTAGTAGAGATGGGGTTTCACCATGTTGGCCAGGATAGTCTCGATCTCTTGACCTTGTGATCCGCCTGCCTCAGCCTCCCAAAGTGCTGGGATTACAGTCGTGAGCCACTGCGCCCGGCCGGGACATCTATATTTTTAACAATTGCCCCAGGACATTCTGAAATGCAAGCTGATTTTTTTTTTTTGAATAATCATTGTAGAAGCCTGATACATACTGCATACTTTACATAATAACTTCATATACACTTGGTTCAGGATAAGGACGCTTCCTCTTTCCTTTTCCTCTTGCAGTTATGGCTCCTTCTTCTCTAATTATCAAGACCTTCTCCATTAGTCCTGTTACCCATTAAGTAAAGGCAGTCATTCCCTTCCACATGCTCTTCCTCAGGCTGGGTTGTTCACTGCCACATAAAGGCTACAAGTGGGTTTTATGGCCTCATGCATACTTAGTCTGTCTTCTCAAAATTGTGTTTTAAATGAGTGAAAACATTAGCCTCTGATCTAATTGATCCACAAAGCATCATTTCAGAATCTTTGCATGACTTCCCAGACTGGCATTGCAGCCCAGCAGAAGGCCACAGGTCAAGGAGGGAAAGACCGTACTACTTCCTGTCACCCCTGTGCGTTGCTCTGCAAAGAGCAGGTGGGAGCCAGGACAAGAGCTGCAGGCACGGGCGTTATCTGTCTCTAAAAGAACTGATTATTTTTTGTTTTGCCCACAGCTGTCTCTGTCCCAATCACCCTTATCTGTCATCAATGTGCACACCTGCATGATATTTTATGACACAGCACACCTGCTGAAATGGAGCAGTTGTCATGTTTCAGATTTGTTGTCTTGTGTGTATGTCATGAGGCATCATGGCAAAAATGAGATACAGCTTCTGTTCTCTCCCTTCCCCCTACTTTGTTACCCTCCAGCCTCATGGTGGGTCCTAAAGCTGAAGACCTACCAGACTGCTTCAGCCACCTCTCCGGGGGTGACTTTCTAGGGGACCCCACCCAGACATGTTCTTTTCCACTTCTGCATCCAGTCCCCTTTGGACCTCTCAAGACTCACACAAAGGCCTGGGCGAGGCTCCCCAAAGCCCCCTACCTCCCAGGTCTTTAGGCTGCCTTCCTTTTTGTTGCCACATTGCATCACCTATTATAAACCTCTGGTAAATCATTTATTCCATCATGTATGTATGTTTGTTTGTGTTGCGAAGGAAAGTAGTAAATAAATGAATTTGTTTTTACTTGCCCAGACCCTTCAGACAGAACTTCTTTGGCAGTATTTAAAAGCCATTTGAATGATGCCAGGACTAGCTAAACTTCGTTTCTGAACAGCGGCAAACACCTGGTGTTTTAAAAGTAACAGTCTAATCACATAACTAGGGCTGAGTGATCTGCAAGCTGGCCTTGACTTGTCTAGAAAGCACAATAGAAATAGGAGTTGGGATCAGAATGCCAGAGATAGAGGGTGTCACAGATGTCATAACCCTGCTCTGCAGAGCTTGCCGAAGGCCAGGGCTGAAAGAGAGACCCCCAATAATGGGTGTCATGGCCTTAGCCCCGCGCTGCTCACTGCCATTAGAATCACCTGGGAGCTTTGAAAGCGTCCTAGGGCCCCCAGGCCACTCCCCAGACCAGTTCAGTCAGAACCTCCCAGGTGGGACCAGGCCTCTCAAATTTTTAGTGCTCCCCGAGTGCCTCCAATCTGCAGGTAGGATTGAGAACCACTAGGCTCAAGGAGTTTGTTTAAATATGTGGGTTTGAAAATGAGGCTAAGAGGAATCACCTGGCTATAGCATTTTTTTGGTTTGTTTTTTTAGTAACGGGAAATTGAATAGAAGCATGCTAATTAGCACAGGCGTATGTTTATATGTGCATAGATACACGTATCTGGACACTGCAGAGGTTGTAGATGCATGGACGTTTACAACAGTGTCCATATTTGTAGATTTGGAGGAAGGTTAGATCCATATGACTCTCCTTTTTGACCTTTCCTTAGTAGACACACCCGGTTGGTCAGCAGATCCAGCTCATTCTCCCTGAAATAGAACTCTGCCCTAAAATGCTTCTTACATCTTTTCCTGTTCATTTCCATTGCCAGTGTGTTGACGTGGCCTTTTCTTCTCCCCTCTCTCAATATGGCCCAGCTGTCTTCACTGCTGGCCTTCTTCCACCCTCCATTCACCACACCTGGTGTGACCCCTACACTATTAAACCTTTGCTGTTCTCCGGTGTTCACAGATAAATGATAATGATAATGGTTATAGCTGACCCTTCCCTAGCATTTACATGTATGTGTTGTTGACTCTTGACACCAGCTCTATGAGGTAGCACTCTTATCCCCCTTTTACAGATGGGGAAACTAACGCGCAAAGTAACTTGGTCAAGGTCAGCCAGAGTCAGGATGGACCCAGGTGGTCTGGCCCTAGAGCCTCTGTTTTGCTGCCTCTCTCCATGCACTCCTGCCATGTAGGAAGGGAGAGGCTGCTCTGTGCTAACAGACTTTTCATCCATTATTTTTAATCTTCACATCCCTCCTGCTGATTAGATATTATGATTCCTGTTTTGTAGAATCCAGGCTGGGAGAGTTTGAGTAACATGACTGAGGACACAGAGCTAAGGAAATAATAACAGGGGTTCAAACCAGGTTTTCTTCCCTCCATGATCTGTATTGTGTCTACCTAATTGCTCGGGATTGTCTAAATTCACCCCTGTGGCATTTGTGGCTCCTTACAATTTGTCCTCACCCCACCTTTCCAACTATTTTCTTCCTTTTTTTTTTTTTTTTTTTGGAAGCAAGGTCTCGCTCTGTTGCCCAAACTGGAGTGCAGTGGTGTGATCTCAGCTCACTGCAACCGCCGCCTCCAGGGTTCAAGCAATTCTCCTGCCTCAGCCTTCCCTGAGTAGCTGGGATTATAGGTATGCACCACCACGCCTCGCTAAATTGTGTATTTTTAGTAGAGAAGGGGTTTTGCCATGTTGGCCAGGCTGGTCTCGAACTCCTGGCCTCAAGTGACCTGCCCACCTCGGCCTCCCAAAGTGTTGGGATTACAGGTGTGAGCCACTGCTCCCGGCCCCAGCTATTTTCTCTTCCATGATGAAATCATGCCACCTATCTTTGGCTCATGCTGTTCCTTTTGCCTGAAATGTTCTTCCCTACTCAGCGAGGACATCATTCAGCTGTCAGATCTCCCATGACAAGGACTCTTGTCTTGCTCACAGCACCCTGCGTGGAATTTGCACACAGCAGCAGAGGGTAGCCATCTCATTTTCTTACCACTTTAAGAAGCCCTGTAAGAATGCATCTCCTCATGGCCCCCTTGGTGTGAGGTCTGCATCACACATCTCACCTCCAGTCCCTTTGTGTTATTCTTAGGTACATGTTTACCTTCTTGCTAGATGGCTTCTTCAGGCCAGATGTCCTCTCTCCATCACTTTTCTCTTGTGTCTAGGGCATTGCCTGGCAAGCAGCAGATGTTCGGTATATGTTTAACAAACATAGGGCAGACAAGAATACAAAAAAACGGGGGAAATCATAATATTCAGTTGGAGGGTACTTGGCAGGGTCATAGTGCTTAGAACAGTCAGGGGTGTATTTACCTGATGGCCTCTGGGGAAATGTACACTGGAAATTTCCAGACGGAAGCAAAGAGCAAATGATTACCCCGCTGGGCTGATTTAGCTTGTGCATTTTGCCACTTGGGTTTTGTTAAGTTTGTTTTTATTTTGAGGTGGGGGATAGGCTTTGCTAACCTCCTGCGGAAAATCTCCTGGCTCCTCTGTCTTCCTGGCATGGACTTTATCCCTAGTATATATTTGGGAGTGTGTGCAAACCGCGCACTTCAGGACTTTTATAGGTTTTCATGGGCTGTCTGTGGTGGAGGTCTGTGGGGGTGGGGAATGCAGTGTTTCCGGAAGAGGGTAGAAGCTTTCAGGATGGAAACAGGTGCCAGAAAAAACATTGTTGCTACTGGGAAAGTGAATTCGTTAACTGAATTAGGGTTATGATACTAAATAAACGTCTTTCTGATTCGTCAGGTTAAAAGGCATTTACACAGCTGCCTTTTTGCACCTGGCACCGGAGGCCAGGTGGGAGGGTCCCGGGGGGGATGGGCAGAGCGCACTGTCAGGCGGGAAGGAGAGGCTTCCTGGGCATCTTCTTGGATTGGCTCTGACCTTTCTTCTTGCCCCCCTCAGGTGAGCGTCCTGACCACCCTGGAGCGTAGGTTCAACCTGCAGAGCGCTGACGTGGGTGTGATCGCTAGCAGCTTCGAGATCGGGAACCTGGCGCTCATCCTCTTCGTGAGCTACTTCGGGGCACGCGGGCACCGGCCGCGCCTGATCGGCTGCGGCGGCATCGTCATGGCGCTGGGCGCGCTGCTGTCGGCGCTGCCCGAGTTCCTGACCCACCAGTACAAGTACGAGGCGGGCGAGATCCGCTGGGGCGCCGAGGGCCGCGACGTCTGCGCAGCCAACGGCTCGGGCGGCGACGAGGGGCCCGACCCCGACCTCATCTGCCGCAACCGGACGGCTACCAACATGATGTACTTGCTGCTCATTGGGGCCCAGGTGCTCCTGGGCATCGGTGCTACCCCTGTGCAGCCCCTGGGCGTCTCCTACATCGACGACCACGTGCGGAGGAAGGACTCCTCGCTCTATATAGGTAGGAGCTGCCCCAGCCGTATTAGCAAGAGACCAGGGTGTGTTGACCATGGATAAAAGGTGGCCTGGTGGACTTTGATTTTGCCAGAGTACTGGTTCTCAGACTTGGCTGCACACCTAGTGTTCTTGAAAAATACTCATGCCTGGGGGTGCAACCTGGGCATTGAGACGTTTTTAAAAGTTCCCAGGTGATTCTTGTGAGCGGCCGAATTTGAGCTCCACGGGGCTAGACCACTAACACCGCTTCAGTGGGAAAACATGATCGGGAGGAGTTGTATGTTTATCTCTTCTTTTTGAGTGCGTATGTGGACTTTGGGCTTTCTGATATTAGCCACCAAGGTATACTTGGGGTCTACACATTGGAAACTCCAGCTTTGAAGAATCAGAATGATGTCCTGGTCATTGTCCTGTTGCAGCTCAAAAGGAGAGGTGATGGCTTTGCCAGCATTTGGCATCATTCGAAGTTGGTGACTTCCGGTAATTTTTTCAATAATGGAAGTATGCATGGGAATTGGGTATGTAGAGAGAAATAAGGTATTTGTGTTTTGAAAAGTTATTTTTCACGGTCAGAGTTTCTGATGTTTTATACTGGAAGGATGGAAACCACTTGTGCGTGGGGGTTAAGAATCATCTGAGTGGCAAGTTGTTTATTACGTGGCGGGCAGTGTTTTCAGTGGCTGCGGTGGGCTCTGTTGGATGGCAGCGTGCAAGGTGAGGGCTGGCCAGCCCCGCATCTCTATCCCTTGTTTACAAAGTATAATTCTGTCTCCTGCCAGCTGCTGGATTTTTCTGACATCCCCAGTCACTGAGTGCTAAGCTTTGAAAACATTACCTCTACCCAGGGAAGCTTTATGCCTCCCAAAAGCAATGTGCCTTGAGGTAGAAAGTTAATTATATTATGGAGTTTTAAGTGAAAATAGAATTTGAACTGGATTTGACATAAAGGTTCCTATCTGCCAGGCTTCAAGCTTGCTGAGATAGGATGGTTTGGAAGCAGGACACACCGAAATGCAGATTTTTCTCTGTGTCTTTCTGGCCCAGCTTTGGAGTAGACGCGTTTACTGAACACGGATGTTGCACGCGGATGTTCTGGCTGGCTGTGAGCAGGCTCTGGGCAGGAAAGATGGAAGGAATGCGCCTCTCCATTCAGAGGATGGAGCACCAGTGAGCCTAGTCACCAGCTACCTATGGAACAAAGGGGAAGAGAAAACGGCTCAGGCCAGAGATGGTTAGGGGTTTCCATTATTACCTGAGAGTGGTTATGGTGGAGGAAGGGAAACTAAGGTAATCATTTTTCTTTCATTGCCTTAAGTCTTGAGTGAAAGCCGCTCCACGTGAGTTTTTTGCACACCAGATCATGGACTACAGCATGTAGCCACAAAGGTCTCCTGAGGTCCACCCTCTGACTTGACTGATGTCACCCTAGGGCTCTGGGAGAGTTGTTTTCTGGTAGGAATAACAGGAAGTAGATCAATCAGAGCACAGGGAATGAAATGGGGAGTGAAAACCTGAATTGTTGTCTCTGCTGATAGAATCAAGTAGAAAAATTTCTCCCCAGAGTCACCCCTGAAGTCCTAACAGTGCTGTATCACTTCTGCCTGGGGCTTCCAGCCGTAGTCACTGAACCCTCTTCTGGAAGTGTCTCCTGATGAGTTAAGCTGTGCTGTTTCCCCACACTGGGTGAGGGTTGGTTTGAATGTGCCAAAAGCTTTATGGTGAGGAAGCACTTTGGTTTGGGACATGGGGGTGTGGGAGGTGGAGGCGTGGACAGTAGGGCTGATCATTTGAGGCAGAAGGCCTTCTTGAATTCTGAGGCCTTGTCTGTGGGATTTGCATTGAGTCTTTGGTAGGAAGAACTATTCAGCCAAATTTCTATTTGGTCACCCCATTCCTCTGTGATAAGTCTGAGTTGGGGGAGTGTCTCTTTGCATGACATACGAACATCTTGGTGGCTCTGTTACATATGGCCAGATTCCAAAACATCGTAGCCCATGCCATGGAGATGATAGTTCTGGGTTTCTCTGCACTGGTTTACATGGGTTTGTGTTTATCGGGATCAGGAGAGGACAAGTCTTTTGCATAGATTGGCCTCAATAGGGGGCCTTTTATTCCATATGTGGTTTATTCTCCAGGTATAATTTAAGATCATAGCATATGCAGAGTATAACTGGTTCATTTATTTATTGTATGAGCTATAAAAAAAGTGTTTGTGGTAGTGAGAATATTTCAGAGTTTATCTCCTCTAATATGGCACTAGTTCCTGAAGCCACTTAACTTTACTTCACAGTATTTGGGGTAGCCCACTGAACAGGATTGATATAAAATTCTGGCCTCTTAACTCCCTGAAGAGGAGGAAAGTCTCAAGGGACTGATGCTGGGACTGTAGGTGTAACTGTATATCCATCGGGGAGGAATAACATGTGTACCCCTGGTTCCAGCTCCTGCAGAGTTGGTCTAGAGAGGGGCCCACAACCAATTGTCTGGTCATATGCCTAAATCGTGACACTATAGTGGAGATTGAAAGGATTCTAAATATGGCATGTGTAAAACACCAGCTTGTTCTTGAGCTGAGCCTTCCCTTTGGGTGTCAGCAGGGAACAGAATGATCAACATGCACAGCTCAGGCTGCAGATCAGTGGTGATGACACCTGCCCCGGGTCACCCGCATTGTGGGTCACTAGATGGGTGCTGTTTGTACATCGGTGGCCGTGTCGTAGCTTCCACTACAACCCAGGGCAAAGTGAAGCATTCCATCTTGAATCAAGCCGATATTTTCCACTGAAATGACTTACTTGCTTTGGCCTCTTGTGGCTGAGCCGCTGCCAGATTCCTGGATTCCTGGATGGGCTATTCACAAGGGGCTCCTCTGGCTGGCACCATTCTTCAGCCCGTCCTTTCCAGTGTGGGAGGGAGCCAAGGGAGCTCATTACCAGGGGACAAAACTGGATGAATGGGGACTCGGCTCTGCTGGCAGGCTTTCACTGCGGCATCATGCGGCACCCGGACTCACAGTGCAGCCAGACGGTGACCCGTGGGTGGCACGTGGCACTCTTTGTTCCTAGAGTGACTACATGGGCGCAGTGGCAGTGGAGACCACTGGGCCCCTACTGAGGTCGGAGAATCCATTCTTTGGGAGTCTAGTCATGCCTCTAGCTCCATGTTGTGATCTTCCATTAGCCCAGTTTTCTTAGCTGTCCTTCTGTTTCTCTAAGTTCAGAACACAAGTCGTATTTGCTTTTTATGAAAGTGTAAGTAGGATGATGGAATGGGCTTACTGTGCCCTTTCATTAGGTTGCCCCCCTTTTTTTTTTCAAGGAGGAAAAGGTGAAATGGGAGTACTAAAGATTTCTCAATAACTTTATTCCTAGTTAAAAAGCATTACATGTTCACCGTTTACAATTTTGAATATGTAGAAAAAGAATAATTAGAGAATATTGTAGCTTTATGGTGTACACAATTCTATTCTCTCTTCTGCATTAGCATGCTTTTCTATGAAAATGTGTTCAAGATAAATGATGTTTTGTGTAATTTCATTTCTCTTACTATTTCATGAGCATTTGTTTGTTACTATTCTATGACATTGCTGCATATATAATCCCTTCTGAATATATACGACAATATTTAATACTTTCTATAGTTGGACATGGATTTTTAAAATATTTGCTGTTTTAAACAAAGCAGATAGGTAAACTGTGATTCCGAGAGGTTGAGTAACTTACCCAAGCTCATTTACCTGGATAGGGCTGGGCTGTGGGTCTGAAAGTGATGCTTATTTCAGGTATGTCTGGGATCTGCTCACGAGGCTGGGATGGGAGCTCAAGGGTGGTGCACGGTCCAGGGAGTCAGGTGCAAGCCAGGGCATTCCACGAGACAGCCCGAAGCCTCCTGGGCATACAAATTGCAGCAGGAGCCAGGAAGGTGGGAAGACAGCAGTGTGTCTGGAGTCCAAGGAGAGAGGTGCTGCTGAAATGGAGAATGAGTGTCAGAGCCAGAATGGAGTATTGGAGGTAGGATGGAGAGAGAGGAAGGTGGTCCTAGCTAACGGTTCAGGTCTGAGTTCTGTAAAGAGGTTGCACCCCTGTTTCATAGTGCTTTGAGCTGAGATGGCTGCAAATCAGACCTTAGACATCTGGGGCAGGAGCAACTGATCTGTTGCATCTTTCGCTCAGCTCTTTCCAGCAGTGTGGGCGCCATACCTTCACATGCCATTCATTCTGTTTTTTGAACCGCAGTAACCACTAGGAGGTTTTTTTAAGTGTTGTGTTAGAAATAGGCCACCTTACAACTTCCCATACCCTGGGTTCTGGTTATGCCCTCTGGATCTACCATGAATAATCCCTATCCCTCTTCCATATTTTGATGGCTCCCCAAATAGTTGAGCACTAACCTTTCATGGGTAGGCGGATGGTATCTAAAGCTTAGTTAGCTCTTCGGAGCTAAGACCTTTGCTCCATGCTTGATGGATTTCCTACCATACTTCCTTCTTAAGAGGGATGCCAAGGGCTGGGGAGCTCATTACCAGAGGACAAAACCAGATGAATGGGGGATGTGGGATATGGCGTTGTATTAGTTTGCTAGGGCTGCCCTAAGCAAACACCACAGACTGGGAGGCTTAAATGACAGAAGGATATTTTCTTATAGTTTTAGAGGCTGGAAGTCTAAGATTAAGGTGCCACAGGGTTGGCGTCCTCTGAGGTCTCATTCCTTGAATTTCAGATGGTTGCCTTCTACCTGTGTCCTCACGTGGTCTTCCCTCTGCATACACATCCCTGGTCTCTCTGTGTATCCAATTTACTCCTCTTACAAGGTCGCCAGTCACATTGGTTTAAACCCACCCATATTAGCTCATTTAACCTTAATTGCCTCTTTAAAGGATCTATCTCCAAATATAGTCAGTCACATGCTGATGTACTGGGGGTTAGGGCTTCAATATATGAATCTGGGGGAAGGAACACTATTCAGCCCATAACAGACACCAAAGAGATTAGTACCAAACCAAGACTACACTCCTGCCTCTTTGCCAAAAGTTTTCGGTAAGGAGCTGTATTGTAATTTTTCTCTCTAAGTACTTGAGGAATTGATGATATAGTTTTTTTTTTAAATAACTTTTAAAAATTACAGAATCACAAGTTGTGGCAAAATACAGGAAAGTCCCCTGTATCCTTCTTCCTGTTTCCCCTGCTGTTGATGTCATGGTAACTATCACACAGTAGCAAAACCAGGAAGTTAACATTGCTGTGATCCATAAAATTTATTCAGATTTCTCTTTTTTTTTTTTTTATTCTTTTTTGACATGAAGTCTCACTCTGTCACCCAGGCTGGAGCACAGTGGCGCCATCTTGGCTCACTGCTGCCTCTGCCTCCTGGGTTCAAGTGATTCTCGTGCCTCATCCTCCCGAGTAGCTGAGATTATAGGTGCCTGCCACCACACCCGGTTACTTTTTTTTTTGTATTTTTAGTAAAGACAGGGTTTCGTCATGTTGTCCAGGCTGCTCTCGAACTCCTGACCTCAAGTGCTCCGCCTGCCTCGGCCTCCCAGAGTGCTGGAATTACAGGCATGAGCCACTGCGCCCGGCCAAGATTTCTCCAGTTTTATATGTGCTCATTTGTGTGTCTGTGTATAGTTCTGTGCAATTGTATCAAATGTGGATGATGCAGTTTTAAGAATGCAGATTGGGATCAAGATGAAACCAGATAATTTTGAGTTGTGTGTGTTAGGCAGACACACGCGCGTGCACGCACACACACACACGGCACAGAGACAGGCTGGCAGATTCTCCTGAGGATGGATGTTCTGGAGAGAATGGGAGCTGGCCAGCGGAAAGGGGTTCTTTGAGAAGGGAGGCTTTGCTGTTTGCCTGAATACACAGAACAAGTGCTCTAACTCAGGAGGCACACGTATTAGACACAAAAATGTGTCACGTTTTCTTTGTTTATCACTTATCCTGAACCCCAGTGCAGCCCTCTGTGTTTCCGTTAATAATGCAAAGAGAATAATTCTCAGATTTCATCTGCCAAGTGTTTGATTAGTACGAAGGGCCCCCGAATACTGGCCAGCAACCAAAGAGAACCAAATTTCCTT
This sequence comes from Homo sapiens, assembly GCF_000001405.40. Taxonomy (NCBI): domain Eukaryota; kingdom Metazoa; phylum Chordata; class Mammalia; order Primates; family Hominidae; genus Homo; species Homo sapiens. The sequence goes on from NC_000015.10 coordinate 91,922,540, forward strand.
TCAGAGCCCTGGGAGCAAAGAGTTATTTGCCTCTGATGAGTTTTTATTTTAACTTGACATTGGGTAAAATGTGTTTTAACTCTCCAAAGAACGTGGATTGGGTATGGATCAAATATACTGTGACTGAAGTTCATCTGAAAAAATAATTAAAAAGCCATCTCTCGTGGGAGCAAGCATTGCTCATTATATTCTTGCAACTTCATTGATATTGAAGTTTCCTTCGTTAATTTCTTTTTCTAAAATAAATGGCACTATAAAAGTGGTCAGTTTGTTTTGGCCATATTCCATTCCCTCTCCCCAGCTGCTGGTCGCATGCCATTTTCAGTGTGTTTGTAGCAGCCTGCTAGGAAACAGCCTGTGGCTCTTACCTGGTGCTTCCATATTGCCTGGGCTGATAGGTGTTTCTCATTCATTCGCAGCCACTCATAACTCATGCCCTGTGGTTCATGGCATCACCGCTGTGCCTGCTGCCTGGGTGACCTTTGGACAAGACTCTGTGGGCTCTGGAGCCCAACAGTCTTGAAATTGAAATCCTGGCCCCTCCACGACTCCTGGGTTTTGGATGAGTTTCCAATTGCCCTGAGACTTTTGCCTTTTCAGTAAAATGGTCTGGTCTACCTGGCCAGGCTTTCCATGAACGTCAGGTGTCCTGTACACGGTGGGGATCAGTAAATGCTGCCCTTTTCATCCTTATGGTCATAGCATCTCCATTTCCAGATGTAGAAATTAAGGCACAGATGGATACATGACTGAACTGTTTAAACGCAGGAGCAGATCTTTGGACAAGAGCCCTTGGAACCTGATTTTCAGCCTGGGATGTGATCCATCTTATAGAGCTGAGAATAGCAACCTCTTCAGTCCTGAATTAAACCAGCAGCGCTCTTCTTTTCCTGAAGACCCCCTCCAGTGGCTCATCTCAAAGTGCATGAAGTGCTAGCATTGCCCCAGGCAGGAGGAGAGCCAGTTTGTATTAATTTGGAGGCAGCCCAGAGTATGGCCATTGCCCCAGTGTGATGTATGGATTGGCTTTCTGGGTTCTAGCATGTCGCTTCTTAATTTGGAAGCATATTAGCTCAATTTTCTTTTAAATAACGTATTCTTATTTTAGTAACATTGAGAAAAACAGAAATGTAATAAGAAAACCTAAATAATATGTAATCCAGATACCTATAGAAAATTATTGTCAGTAGTTAGGTATATTTTATTCCAGCCTTTTTTCTTTGTATATCGTTTTGCTTAGTTAAAAACCATACTATAAATAAACCTGCTTTTTATCAGTTGGCATATTATAAAGTTTTTCCTGGGTCATAAACAATATACATCATTTTAGATAATTGCATATTATTTTGTCAATCTAGAAATGCTGGAATTTGCTAGTTGGGCATTTAGGTGATGAATGTCTCTGTGGCTTTAGCCTTGTCGACGTTGGCTGAAAACTTTAAAAGCTCAGGTTAGTTCAGATAGATTCAGTGTGAGCTGAAAGCCAGCCCCCTGGCCCTGCGGTGACTTTTTCCAAAAGATAAATGAGTGAGGCCAGGAGTGTCATGCAGACGGGCTTTGGGCCGGCTATGGGTGTTGGCATTCTTGTTTTGAAACCCCCTTCCACATCTGCTCAGGGGTCACAATCTTAAGTGCTGAAGGGGTGCAGCTGATGAATGAGAAAAGCAGACAGTGTGGAGCCTGGGGAGCTGGTCCTTGCCTCGTCCTTCACCATTTGTTGCCCTGTGGGAGTGCAAAGTTAGTGTTTCCAGATCTTCTGATTGTTAAGAGAGGCTGGAAATCCGTATTTTTCAAGAGGATTGAGTTGCCAACTCATTGAAATCTTCTCCAAGCCCTTTGCGAGTCAGCATTGGTTAGCATGTCTCGAACACATGGTAGCTCAAACACACACGGTAGCTTGCCATGGTGGCAATTTCAAATTGCATTCATTGATTTCAAAAGACCATCAATTTCAAATTGCATTCATCTTTTGAGTTGCAAATAAATAAAACACGAAAAAAGAAAAGAAAGGAAAGCTGTCGCACATTGTGAATGTCACAGCCAGAAAAAAAGTGTTCTTCGCTGTGGTTCTGAATGTTAGGGGTATTGGATTTGGAGGAAGAGGACAGGGGATCTTGCACGAACAGAGGACAACCTGGCAGGAGTGAGGGTAACACCACTGCTGAGCGGACCCACTCCTACTGACACCTTGCTTACTGCCTCACAATGATGGGGATTCCCAGGATTGGAAAGAAATGAAACCATTTTCCTAAGCCAGAGGAAGAAAAGCACGGTTCAAGGTTCCCCGAAGAGAGTATTGGGATGCAGAAACCAAAACCATTTGTGGCTGGTTGGGGCCTACAGATATTTACTGTGTGTGCAAGAGCATCTTTGTGAAGAAACTTTAGAACATAGCACTGAAGTGTTTGATAGGCAGGAAATAGGACCAGAGAGGCCCAGGATGACCTGAAGAAAGGTGAAAGTCCATGTGAGGGAATTTTCCTTCCAGAAGGATGTCAAAGAATACTGCTAGTTACTTCTTTACTCCGGCTTCCTTACTGCACCTGACTGGGGAAGGCACACCCATCTTATTTGCTTTTCAACTGTGGCACAGGTATTGTTCTTAAAAAAGATTTTGAGACATTTCCTCTAATAACATGCGTATTGTTTCTCTTCAGTTAAGACTGTTTACTTTTCTGAGAGAGAATAATCTTGGCTTCATTTTCTTTTTGTCCTTTTCACCTACAAGAAGCATTCTGTGAGAGCAGATGGCATGAACGGTTTGGTTTCTGTCGAGCATTGTGTTTTGCTATTGTTAACACTGGGATTTGAGGTTCATGGTCTTCCTCCTTAGTGGGAAGTAAGTTCTTCATTGCTAGATAATTTTTTAGTGTTAAAATGCCTCACAGAAGAGTCTCTTGTGAATATTTGCTTTTGTCTGTCTGTCCAGTACCTTGTTTTTTTTTTTTTTTTTTAACTAGGAAACTACCTCTCCCATCTTAGGTGGTTGCTGTGGGTTGCAGAAGTGGCCATGTGGTCAGTCCGGGCATGGTCAATTGTGACACAGAGAAGGTCTACAGTAGTCTACAGTGACAGGCCCCAGAAGTGGGCCAATCAGAGTCCACTGTGGGGCGAGAGAAGTGGACTGAGAGAAATGGACCATCTTCTCTTGTAGGACTGCTACTGAAAGAACTCTGAATACCCAGAGATTCCAGTGTCCATCATTGCTGCCACATGCAGAGAACTTGCCTAAGAATGAATGAACTTGCCTACAGAGAAAAGTAGACCAAGGAAAAGGGAGAGCAAAAGGGCTTCCTAGATCCAGCCGTGCTTGAAGCTAGCATCTAGCCCTTAGAATCCTAGTCACTTGAACACATAAATTATCCTTTCCAACATCTACAGCTGCCAGGTTTCTGCCTCATCAGGCTTGAGTGCCTGTCATGTCATAGGAGTTGGTCTGGATTGCTTCCCTCTTGAGGTATAACCAAGCATCTTTGAATAGGGATAGAGTCCAGGGGAAACTCAAGTAAGGCATTTGTTCTCTGCTCAAAGTGCTAGTTCTTTCACAGTACAAAGATTAACCACTCATGAGACTCTGAAGAACCCCTGACCCTATGCATAAAATGAAAGGGGCTAGCTTGAAAGCGTTGGCTTAGCTCTTCATTTCGTTATTTCAGAGGCATTGAAGTTACAGGACTTAGATGCCAAAAGGAGTATCCCCTCTCCACCTTTCTCCCTACCTATCAAAAACAAACAAAAGTATTTAAAAATAACCTGTTGGCAGGCTTTGTGCAGGAACAGTAAGTGTTTAATAGCACATTGCGTATGTGGGCAGGAGCATGTTGAGCATGCTCAGTTTATTCAATGGCTCGTTTATTGAATGGAAAAAATATAACCAATCCTGGCTCTTTTACTTGACTGCAATTGCCAAAGGTACCTTAACTCCCTCAAATGACTTCATATTGTCAGGAATGAATAAGCTAAATAAATGAGTATGTTCCATTCCCAGCGTGGCTTTGCCATTTCATTCCTGCCAAGCCGTGTGTGTGTGTGTGTGTGTGTGTGTGTGTGTGTGTGTGCGCGCGCGCACGCCCATGCTTATTTTAAACCACATAATAGACAAATATGAAGATACCAAAGCCTTGGGTGGCTAGTGGACACTCATCAAAATCGAGATGTATTTCTTTAGCGCTCAGATTCAAGAATCTGGCTTCAGAATGTCAGGAGTCATCGTTGGCTGCTTGAAGCTAAAGGTTCTTGGATGTGCCTTGCGGGAGTCGGGGCCATAACCTTTTCGAATTATGTGGAGATTTACGTGTATATGTACCCTGGGAGGAAAGCTTTGACTGGATTGAATGAGGTTCATGACCCACAGAAGGTTAAAACCATATAAAGACCTAATGTTAGACTTTGGTGACAGGCATTTTGGGGTGAGATAAGTCTAGCTAGTTGAGGTGAGATAGGCTGTATGGAGTGACAGATGGCATTTAGAGACTGGAATGTTGTTCACTGTTCAGCTCTTAGCTTGTTTTGCTCCCTGGAGAGCCACTGTACTTACAACAGGAAGCATATAAGCATCACTTAGGCAACTGTGGTGAAAAGTCAGAATGCATTCTCAGCGGCATTGGAGACACCCCTCGGCCCTCCACTCCCCCGAAAATTCCTTTGGGGCTGAAATTTTCCATCCCTTCTTTCAGCCTAACCGTGGGTGTTTTGGGTAATATTCAGCAGATTTTCTGTGCTGGTTTGAACTGATGCACAGATAGGAAAATCAAAACTTTTTTTTTTTTAGTTCTAAAAGCAAAAACACTTTAAAATGGCACTTGGATCATTAATAGAATCTGAACTCTCAAAGTCAAAATTTTCCATGTGTTCTTACTAAGAAAAAGACTCACTGTTGGGGCAATTAAAAACAAAGGCAGAAAGTTGTGAGGGACTAAACAATTCTGGGGACATGAATGAACTGGCCAAACTTTTTATTGGCAAACCTTTTATGGGATAGTTGGTGCATTTGAGAAACCCTCTATTTTATACCACGGCCTCCTATTTCGGGTGTCGGGGGACTGAGGGAGGATTGGCGTTGCACTCATTCTGATGGCTCTCCAAGGAGAGATACTTTTCTCCCTTTCTCTCTGTAATGTTCCAAGCAAGTGGGGCCAATGGGTGTGATTTCTCCCTGCTTCCCTTTCTGGGCAAGATGCTATTACCATAAGAACATTCACGTTTGCCCACCTGCCTTGTGGGTTGTTAATGGAGTTTACAAAGGGAATTTGGATTCTCAGCAAGAGGTCTCATTAACACAGCAAGGATCTAATAGATTCTAAAATTGCGTATGGACACTGGAACCTTTTGAAACCTGGTGGTGTCTATTATTAGATCTAAATCATTTCGCCAACCCTGGCCTCAGGCTGTACATTTGTATCATGGGGCAAAGAGCCTTCTCTTCATCAAGGTAGATCTACCATATTGATTGAAGAACATGTTAATACCTGTGATTCTGGTGACAAGACAAGGTAAAAAGGCTATTAGGCAGTACATAGAGGAAAATGTCTCCCACATTGGTGCTTTTATTTTATTTTTAAATATCAGCCTTGTTACTGGTTGTGTGTTTAATACTAGGATTCATTACTATCATAAAGAGAGTTTAACAGCTGTCTGCTTATTTAGACAAGTGCGTTAAGCACAGGTGAGTTTGAATAGTGACCATAATACCGCTGAATACACTAGCTCCCATTTATGGGGTCGCAGCTGTTATGACATACAGACAACCAGTATTTTGCATATACTCTCTCACTCCCTCCTCATAAAGCCCAAGGAGATAGAGGCTGTTATTCTTTCTGTGTAGGTAAAGGAGCTAAAGTTCATGGGGCTTAAGCAGCTTGTTCAGGGTCATATGGTTAGTGAGTGGCACGGCCCAAGCTACAGTCCGGTCTGGTCTCCGTTATCCCAAGGGCCTTATCTTTCCCATCGTATGCTACCCCTCCACCATCCCCAGGCATGATTACATCCACACCAGGATAATATAGGACCCCAAGAATGTCACACTAAGTATGAAAAGTGACTCAACCCAACTACCTAAATAGGTATACAGCTCTTTCTCAGTATAGTACCCACCTGCGGTGCTTTGTCATTTTAGCTGTAAAGTATGAAATGGTGAGGCGTTTCTAGGCCAGGAGACGTCTGATGGGTCTGGGGTATTCAGGGCCTAGTTCTGTGGGAATTTTAAAAACTCTCATCAGATAAAGCATTGCTCCCACAAAAAAATCATGTGAGTTGTTTTCAAAATCTCCTTGTAGTAAAGTGAGAGAAGCTCACTCACCAGACGGTTTTGTTTACACTTCAGGCCTGGCAGCATTTAATTGGTATACATTCACTGCACTTATGCAACTTGGACTTGAGTGTTTCACTCCCAGACTTGATGAAGCTGACTTGCTTTTCTGAGCGAGTCAGGAGTGATTTTAAAACATACTAGACGCCAGCGGGGACAAAAATGGTAAGAAGGTAGGGCAAGAAAGACTTCATGGATCATGGATGAATACATGAGAAAGAACAAGAAGTAGAGATAATGTAATCCCCAAGACCTTTCCTCATGGGGAAATAATCAGCATGAGCAGTTATTGAGCTCTGTGGTGTTCTGAAGACCCTCAGGAGTGGCGTGTCCACATACATGAACTGTGTTTGCAGAAGAAGGTGGTTACACGATGGATGGATTGGGAGTGGCAAAGGCAGGCCTCCTTAAGGCATCCTCAAGGATTTGACGTCCAAGTAGGTGAACTCTCTTCCAACTCTATGTCCTGAAGCCACATTTTCCCGAAGTCATTGAGATAGCGTTTTGGTGACCTTCAGAAAAAATGACAGTCTCTTACTGGTCCATCTTGGGGAGTGAAGAGAGGGTCTGGAGATTAAATTGGGTGAGGGACCACGTGTTCCATGTTGGAGCATTGGTGCAAAGTTGGGAGACTCAGCTCCTCCAGCTTATGATGACAGGTTCATATTTCCAGTCTTTTTTTAATTAAAAAAGTTGTAAATTTTGGTAAAATATTCATACAGGTCACCATCTTAACCATTTTCAGCTGTACAGTTTGATAGTGTTAAGCACATTCACATTGTTGTGCAACAGATGTCCAGAACATTTTCATCTTGCAAAACTGAAATTACCTCTTCAACAACAACTCCCATTCCACCCCCTCTCCAGGCCCTGGCAACCACCATTCTACTTTCTGTCTCTATGAATTTGACTACTCTAAGTGCCTCAGATAAGATCGTAGAGTATCTGTCTTTTGTGACTGGTTTATTTCACGTAGCAGGTTGCTCTCAAGGTTCATCCATGTTGCAGCATTGGGTCAGAATTTCCTTCCTATGTATATTATATACCAAATATTCCACTCTATGCTTAAAACATATTTTGTTTGTCCATTCATCTATGAATGGACATTTGGGTTGTTTCCACCTCTTGGCTATTGTGAATAATGCTGCTGTGAACATGGGTGTGCCATGTATTTTCAGCCTTATAAAAGTATATCTCCATCTGGGTATCCTAAGGTGTGTTAAACTCAGTAAATCCATAATTCATCTCTTTAATTTTCTCCCAGGTTTGCCTTATTGACCAGCCTTGTCCTCCCCTCTCTCTTCCTGCATTTAAAAGCTCCAGCCTCTCATGGATCAGGGTTCCTGCACCTCTCTGATGTCTGGTCCCCAGCCTCCTCTACTCGTCCCCTCCCTGCCACAGGTCAGCTCTCAGCACCTCTCAACTGGACCACTGCATCTACCTCTGATGAGTTTCACTGTGCCCAATCCAGCCTGTCTCCAAGTTGTCCTTCACATTGCCACTGTTCCAAAGCAGGCTGTGAACTTTATGAACCCAGAGAGATGTGCGTTGTTCTGGAACCTTTGTTACAAAGGTTCCAAGAGCTCTGCATGGGATTTAATTTTATTTTGTTACATGCCCAATGAGTAATAACCATATGGTTATGTGTATTAATATAATGCATATGGTGAGATTATAGTATTGTATTTTTGAGACACTTAAAATAACCTGACTCCATTTTAACAGAGGTGTTAAATTTAATTGTCTACATTTTATTCATTCATTCAACACATATTAATTGATAACTTACGATGTGTCAGTCCCCGTACAAGGTGCTGGGGATACATGGATGAATCAGACCTAGCTTCTGTCTGTAGGAGTAATAATAAAATCACCCAATGTTTATTAAGCACTTATTGTGTGCCAGAGACTGGGCTAAGTTCTTGACATATATTATCTGGTGTAATTCTCAAAACAACCCCTGAGTTAGTTTTTATTTGCCGCGCTTTATGGGAGGAAATCCTGATGCAAAGAGCTTGAGTAAAGGGACACCTTGGGGATTGGAGTCAAGGGGGTTCTTGCTCCTCACAATATTCTCAACTACTGTGTTTTCCTGCTTCACAGCAAAGTGTACCAGCGAGTGTCATGCAAAAGCCAACAGTTTGAAACAGGAAGGGCAAAATGAAATGAAACACCAGGCTGATACATATGCATTTATAGATGTGGAGCTGGAAAATATTGACCAAATGTGCTCAGAAATATTTTACAATTGTGAATAATGACCAGTCCCTTGCAAGGAGACAGCCTTCCAAACCGTAGTTACTGTTAGAGAAAAGAAACAACATTCTGCATGTCCTCAAAGCAAGAGCTCACGTAAACTCGGTTTTTCATAGGTGTCAAATGCTGCTCCCTGATGCGATGCATTATGCAGGCAAAGAAATAACATGACAAAGCCTCTCTCACAGCCTCAGAAAGGAAGGTGATGTCTCCGAACTGGCCATCTGGATATAGCTAGGATGAAGCATTTTCAGAATTTGCCGAGGTTCACAGCTGAGGAGAGGGGCCAGTGGCATCCTCTGCTGTCAGGTAGCCCCTCCTCCTCTTCCTCTGTGAATGGGCAAACCCTGCTTCTTCTGCTGGGTTGTATCTTTTTTTTTTTTTTTGAGACAGAGTCTCGCTCTGTCACCCAGGCTGGAGTGCAATGGTGCGATCTTGGCTCACTGCAACCTCTGCCTCCCTGGTTCAAGCAGTTCCCCTGTCTCAGACTCCCAAGTAGCTGGGACTACAGGCTCACACCACTGCGTCGGGCTAATTTTTGTATTTTTGGTAGAGATGGGGTTTCACCATATTGGTCAGGCTGGTCTCCAGCTCTTGACCTCAGGTGATCCACCTGCCTCAGCCTCCCAAAGTGCTGGGATTATAGGAGTGAGCCACCGCGCCCGGCTGGTGTCTTAAGTGTGGAAACACACACACACGCACACACACACACACACACACTCACACAGGAGTAGATGAAGGGAAAAAACAGAGATTGCTATTCATCACACAAAAGCCAAGCATGTTCTTTTAAGAAATCACTGTTGCTGGAGACTTTTAGGCAAGTGATGTGAGCATTGAAGAGACTTTTAGTGTAAAATCAAGGTGGAAGATTAGGTTCAGTAGTTTGTAGTCTGCAGTGGTGACTGTCTTAGAAAGCTTTGGCTGGTAGGAAGCTCCATTGAGAGAGTGCATATCGTATGCAAGGCACTGAGCTCACTGTTGCCTTTATGATTGTTCACTTCATCTTCATAATGGCTGTTTTTCCTCAGTAGGAAACTGAGGCTCAGCAGAATTAGTAACTTGTGCAAAGTCATACCTCCTAGTAGGTCAGTGATGAGACTTGAATATAATGTTCACTGATCAAATCTGGCCTGAAATTGAGATTTCATAGAATAATTGATTTTTTGTCATCATGGAAAACTTAAAACATATTCAAAATTAAAAAGGATGGTTGAATGAATCCCTGTGTGCCCATTTTCCAGTAATTATCAGCATGTTGCCTTTCTTGTTTTATCTCTACCCCTACCTGGCCTCCCTTCTCCGTGATTATTTTGAAGCAAATTTTAGATATACCATTTTATTAGCAGTTTTTTTTTTTTGAGACAGGGTCTTGCTCTATTGCCCAGGCTGGAGTGCAATGGCATGATCTCGGCTCACAGGAACCTCCACCTCCCAGGTTCAAGCAATTCTGCCTCAGCCTCCTGAGCTGCTGGGATTACAGGCATGTGCCACCATACCCAGCTAATTGTTGTAAGTTTAGTAGAGATGAGGTTTCACCATGTTGGCCAGGCTGGTCTCAAACTCCTGACCTCAGGTGATCTGCCTGCCTCGGCCTCCCAAAGTGCTGAGATTACAGGCGTGAGCCACCGTGCCCGGCCTATTTGCAGTTATTTCTGAAAGTTATTTCAAAACATAATCACAATCCCATTCTCATGGTCGTTAGATCTAGAGACTTTATCAGCTTCAGGTTTCATTTCTTAGGGGCACTGATCTTTAATTGGTGACAATGATGATGATGTGTGCTTCCATCATGGGACACATGTAGCTTTTGTGGTGTTAACAGCTATGCTTGGCCATGGCCTTGGGGGTGGTGATATTTAAATTCCATCATTACTCCTTTGATTGCTTCTACTAAGAGAATCTTCCCCATTTCAACTATTTTGTTATCCTGAGTTAGAATTGGAATGAGAAAAGGAGGAAAAATCCTCCCCAATTACTAAAAACAATTTAAAATTTAAGATTTTTTTTTCGGTTATTTTTCTCCTTAAGGTATATCCTATTAGAAATATACAGCAAAATTACTGTGTTTTACAGTAATGGAAAATGGCTTCTCTCTGTGCAGTTATGACTCCAATGAACAATTAAGTTTGCTTCATTTTGCTTTTGATTTTTATAGATTGCTTTTCCAAAAATATATAATTATGTAAGCTATTTACAGGGCTTCAAACTCAAATCTACAAACCAAGAATATTCTGAGAATTCTAGCTTCTAAGCCTGTCATTTCTGTTCCATTTCTTACCTTGGAAGTAATCAATTTTTCTTTGTTTTTGGATTTTATCTTTCTGTTTTAAAAAATGACCAAATACATTTATATATTATTAGCTTCCTTTTTTGTAATAAAATGTAGTTTATACAGTTTCTCTACTTTTTCACCTAAAAAGCATACTAAAAAAATCACAGAATATTGCAGTATATAAAGGATCAGGATAACAAGCAGTACATAGAGACATAGAATCATTGAATTTTTAGAGATGTTAATAATAGCAAACATGTGGCACTCTGTGCTACACACTGTTTTCAGTGCTTTACATAAAGTAACTCATTCTTGTAACAACAGTAATCTTCTGGGGGTATGTACTATTATTATCCTCATTCTGTAGGTGAGGCAACTGAGGCACAGAGAGGTTGGGTAACTTGCCCAAGGTCTCAGAGCTAGTAAGTAGCAGAACTTGAATACAGTTGTCTGCTGTTAAATGCCACATTACACTGCTTCAGAATTGCCAGAGTTTAATTTTCTGATTTTTATGAGTCAGGAAATTACAACCCTAGGATGGTTATGTTAAAGATCTGAATACTCACGTGCCCTGTCCCCAGGGTTCTTACTTTTTCTGATGGTACTGGCTTTTCTTGCAGCTTAGTGTTGAGTCTGGGCTTTGATTTTTACCTAACTATAAGCTAAAAACTTAGACTGTTATTTCATGGATGCTCAGAAGACATGAGACTCCTGGATCAGAGACAAAGGGCTTTATTACTCATTGACAATAATCAGTATGTGTGTCTGTTCTTCTTACCTTGTAAGTACCATAGGGGTGATGGTGAGGACCAGGTGGATGTCTGTACCCCCAGTGAGTGTTACAGGAGAGGAATACTGAATTGGGGAAGTACACTACTTTGACGTCAAGCAGTAAGCAAGCCTACCCTTTGCCCCAGAGACATACCTTTCCTCTTTCTTCAAGGTTGCTCACTGGGAAATGGCTAGGCAGTGAATGGTCAGGGTCTTGCATTCTTGGCATACCCAGCAAGACATGTAGAAGCACAGAGACCCATGGGTCACTGTCTGCCAAAATGCTTCTTTGCACCGGTTTTAATGATTTTAGAATAAAGGGAAAAGCGGGTGCCCCATACCACTTCTTTGCCAAATGACTTCTTTTTAATACATTTGCCAGTATTCCCTGATGCATTTACTCCAGGTTTTGTCATTCTCAAATTCTAGCCATAGCAAAAAGAGTCAACTCTTGTTTGAAGACCACCTTTAACAAATTCTAAATACTACTACATTGCAAATCTATGGGTTTTCTCTTTTATTTGTAATGGGGACCATTTTAGAATTAGCTAGAGAGATTAGGTTGACAAGCATTGATGAATTTCATTACCACATAATAGATGGTTTCTTTTTCATTTCCTTTTCTATTTTTCCGGTTGAACTTCTTTTCGATGTTAAGCCTAGTTTTTGTTGCCAGTGAGTTGTATAATTCCGTAAGTTACTGCCCTTCCTAACTAAGGCCCTGACTATAACTTCGCCTTTTTATGGTAACACATATTGAGCTTTGATTGGTAAAACTCTTTGGAGGCGTCCTTCGTGAATTTCCTGACTTTTTTTTTGTTTTTGAGACAGAGTCTCGCTTTGTCGCCAGGCTGGAGTGCAGTGGCGCCATCTTGGCTCACTGCAACCTCCGCCTCCTGGGTTCAAGCAATTTTCCTGCCTCAGCCTCCTGAGTAGCTGGGGCTACAGCCGTGTGCCACCACGCCTGGCTAATTTTTGTATTTTTAGTAGAGACAGGGTTTCACCATGTTGGCCAGGATGGTCTCGATCTCTTGACTTCGTGATCTGCCCGCCTCGGCCTCCCAAAGTGCTGGGATTACAGGCATGAGCCACCATGTCCAGCCCAGACTTCTTAGGATAAATAAGAAATAGTAAGGGTTCAATGGTGAGAAGTGGCCTTTTAAGTTGCAAGAAGGAAAATGGCAACACAAGGGACTTTTGTAAATGTGGTGTAATTCTCCTCCATTGAGGAAGACTGGGACCCGAGGATCAGAGGCATGGAGGGAGAGAACACAAAAAACAGGACCTGGGCTAGAGAAGAAAGGTCAAGCCAAGGGGTGCAAAAGCCATTCAGCACTCAGCCCACCCCTTACCTTAAAACCTAGCCCACCCCTATTAGCTACTAGGATGGGAATTGTTGAGTTCAACCAGCCTGATGTTTGCAAGTATGATGTGCTAGACATGGAGTAACGCCTCAGCTTTTTCCTCTCTTCTGAATTTTCATGCAAGGTGGTAGACTCTGGAGTGGTGAGTGGATGGGAGAGAGAAGGGCCTGCCACTTCCTTCCTGGGGAATCCTCAAGAGGTTTCACCTGCGTTGCAGAGACTGAGTTGCTGAGCAGGTATCTGTGCCTATATGTGGTCACTCTTTTAGGAGATTTTACACTTCTCACTGGGCCTCTTCTTGGAGTTGTTTTTTTTTCTGTTTAACCAATCTCAGTGGGGTCTTTCAGGACCTTAAAACTGTTTCAAGGGACACCACAGTTAGCCTGGGAAACATAAGAGGAAATATAAGACCTAATTATTAAAGTTTGCACAGCTTATCATGGAGAGAGCACTGCTTAAGCCCTTCCTAACATAGGCAGATCATCGAGCAAGGAGTCACAAGTGGGTTAGTGACTGAGGGTGAGGGCTCTGGAGCCAGATGGTCAAGGTTTGCTCCTAACCCTGACTAGCTCTGTAGCTTAGCTTCCTCCCAGATACAACGGGAATGATAATACTGTGTCTCTTATTAGAGATGCTGTAACGATTATAGGAAGTGACATGAATAGGTGCCATGACTGGCACATAGTAAGTGCTCAATGCGTTGTTATTAAATTGAGGATTGGGCACAAGCCCAATCTACTAATTTACATGATTTCTAGATTTAAGCTATAGGAGGTTTTCGTCCTATGATCTGGAGCTGCACTGTCCAATATGGCATCCACTAACCACATATGGCTATTTAAATTAACAAAGCCAAATACAGTGAAAAACTCAGTTCCTCATTTGCACTAGCTAGATTCGAAGACCCAGTAGCCACATGTGACTGTTGGCTAGCATTTTGGAGACTGTAGATTGTTGAACATTCCTGTCGCTGCAGAAATTTCTTATGGATAGCTCTGGCCTGGAGGGTTTAAACTTTGAGGGATTTGATGACTGCGTGTTTTATTTTGGAACTTTTTTCCTGATCCCAGTTTCTTTTCTACAAATAGAAAAGAATGCATGTCGTGCGGCTTACAGGAATGTACAGACTTCAGTGAGTATGGGATTCACACAGATGAGGAAGCCCTTGCAGATACATAGAGGAGTAGGAGTTTCTCCAAGGTGAAGGCTGAGGCTGTCCTGAGAGGTGGCCAAGGGTCCCTTCAGTGCCTTTTAGTCTCAGTCTCCTGTGCAGACCCTCTGGGTGAAGGAGGCTGTATTTCCTCCATTGCTTTAGCCCCCAGGAGGACATTCCTGAGTTCGATATTCTGTCCTGTTTCTCTCGTAGGCACCATATGTCCCAATTTGGGTTCCACAAATATGGTCACTGTGATTATGGGGCACATAAGGCTTTCCATTTAAGTTGCTGAGTACAGATCATTAATCCTGTTCAGCCTGTGCCCCCTGAATCTGCAAAGAGGAAGAATCCATCCTGAAAGGGGCCAGAGAGCCAGGATGCCTTTGTCTCCCTTTCTTTTGGGTTTTATCTCCATGAGAAGTGGGTGAAGGGTGTCAGCTGTGTATTTGTAGCTAAATAACCGGCTGTCTTCCCAGCTGACGATGTAAAAGGAAACCACCCACTTACATTAAAATGTGTTTCTGCTTTATGAGCTCTGAGGGTTCATTAGAGATGGCGTTAATAAGGACTCCTGTGCTCAGCTGTCAGCTTTCTGCCTTACCTAGGGGGCAGGTAGCACGGGCAAAGCACTCTCTAGGTGCCAGGCCCCATGGGGAACAAGTGGCGGGAGGCAGAAGCTTTGACTGTTCTGCCCGCAAAGCATGAAGGGTCTCTGGGAGGCAGCCAGGTGCAAGGGGATTTCTGAGCTGCATTTTAAAAAGTGGGAGTGGGCCAGGCATGGTGGCTCACACCTGTAATCCCAGTACTTCCGGAGGCCGAGGTGGGCAGATCATGAGGTCAGGAGTTTGAGACCAGCCTGGCCAACATAGTGAAACCCCATCTCTACTAAAAATACAAAAAATTAGCTGGGTCTGGTGGTGGGTGCCTGTAATCCCAGCTACTTGGGGGGCTGAGGCAGGAGAATCACTTGAACCCAGGAGGCAAAGGTTGCAGTGAGCCAAGATCATGCTACTACACTCCAGCCCGGACGACAGTGCAAGACTCCATCTCAAAAAAAAAAAAAAAAGTGGGAGTGAGGCTTATAAATCTGTGGAAAGGGAAGAAGGGGAGGGGGACATTCTGGGAAGCACAGGTTATGCAAAGTTTTAATTTGAGACAATGAGAACAGGATATTAGAACAACTTTATTGCTTCCTAGTTATGCAGTCTTGCATAATTGACTTAACCTTGGTTTTCACATCTGTAAATTTTGGAGGCGGTATCTACCTTATGGGGTTATGAGTACCTACCTTATCGGGCTGTTCTGAGGATGAATCAGTTAATACAGGTGAAACATTCAGATTCCCACCTGGCTCAGAGGAAGCAATCAGGGAAAATTAGCTTTCGTCATTATTATTTATCTTCTTCCTCTGCATATTGCTCTTATTATTGAAAGAGAAGTAGTTTTTGGAGATGAATTCAAATGCCATCTCTGCCAGTGACCCTGCACAAGCCACTTGGAGCTTTCTGAGCCTCAGTGTGCTCATGATTAAAATGGGGTAATACTATCTGCGTTATGAGGATTCTTGTGAAATTTAGGTATTGTCTAGAAAATCCCAGTGCAGGGCCCAGTATAGAGAAGGTACTTAGTAAGTGTTAGTTTCCTTCTCTCCTCCTTCTCCCAAATTTCCTGGTAGTAATTTGGCAACCCGTTTAGTTAAAAAGTGATGAGACGAAATGGCATTTGAGCAAGATTAACTCAGCAGCTGTGTGTAGGATGGATTAGCTCATGTGCAACAGTGCAACTTGGAATACTCTAAACATTGGTTTTTTTTGTTTTTTTTTTTTTTTGGTATCTAGGTATTTGTGTCACAGTTACAAGATGGTTCCTTATATCATTACAGTAGCTTTTTCCATGTGTCAGGCTACTCTGAATGCTTTACACGTATTTGCTGATTTGACCCTCCAGACAACTATAAAAGGTAGTACTGTTGTTCACATTTTACAGATGAAGTAACTGAGGCCAGAGAGATTAACTTGCCCACGATCACCCAGCTAGTGTGTGGTGATGCGGGATTTGAACCCAGGCTTCAGAATCTATGCTCTTCACCTCAGTGATTGACACTTTTGAAATTTCTAGACAGCAGGGGGCTGTTTGTTGCATTTCTGAGTTATGGAACATGGTAAGACTAGGAACCACAGAAGGTTAATCAGGGGAAAAAGCATAGGCCACCAGGAGGTTTTATCCTAGTCCGGAGAAGTTGGGTAGGGAAGGGCAGGCCCCCAAGACTTTCTAAACGTAGCTGGGATGTTGTGCCCCCCTCTGGGCTCATCTGGGCCTGTCCCCTGCTCTACTTGTGGAAGCTGCCTTGGGTGCTGTATTAGATTGTTCTTGCATTGCTATAAAGAAATACCTGAGACTCAGTAATATATAAGAAAAGAGGTTTAATTGGCTTATGGTATGGCAGGCTCTACAGGAAGCTAGTGCCAGCATCTGCTTCTGGGGAGGCCTCTGGGAAGCTTCCAATCATGGTAGAAGGGAAAGGAGGAGCAGGCACGTCAAATGGCCAAAACAGGAACGAGAGAGAGAATTGGGAGGTGCCACACACTTTTCAACGATCAGATCAAGAACTCGCTCATTATCACAAGAACAGCACCAAGAGGATGGTGCTGAACCATTCATGAGAAATCCACTCCCATAATCCAATCACCTCCCGCCAGGCCCCACTTCCAACATTGTGGATTGCAACTTAACATGAGATTTGGGTGGGGACACAGATCATATAGGCGCTATAGCAGAAGAATGTGGTTCTGCAGCAGGAGCCTCCACCTCCCAGCTTTGCAGGGCTGGGCAGACCTTCCCCCATGGTTCGCTGGCTGCAGCCAGGCCTGGCAGAGGTGGGCAGATGCTCAGCCACAGATGGATGCCACGCTGCTGCCAGCTCCAGCACCTCCTAATGAAGTGTTTCATGGGTCCTGCATGAAGGTCAGCAGGCAGTGACAGAGGGGGTGCCAGGCTTCTTCCCTCCTCCTCTGCAGCATTCCAGTCATAGCTTGGACTCTTTCCCGTCAGTCTTTGCCTCCTACCCGCCTCCTCCATTCTCCTCCACACCTTTGCCCAGGACCTCTACGCTGCTATAAAGACATCAGCAGCCCCCGTAGCTCACAGGGTGCTGCTTCGAGCCATGCCAGCCCGCTGCTGATGTGACACAGCTAGCAATTACTGAGTTCTTCCCACGGGCCAGACACTGGTTCTATCTACTTAGCACAGAGAGGCCTAGTCACTTGCCTGGGGTCACATAGCTAGAAAGTAGCAGTCCAACCTTGAACCCTGGCAGTCAGGCTCTGGAGCCTATGTACCCAGCCCCTACCATTTGCACCGGGAGCTCTCACCACATGTTCCCATTGGGCCCTAAGCTCTTCCTTTTGTTGCCTTTCATTTCCTTCTCTCCTTGTTCCTGGCCCTACCACTTCAAACTTGCTTTCCCTCCTCTCCTAGCATCACATCCAATGACAGCAGCTCCTGCCTGGCATTGGAGCCATTCAGATCTCCTGTGTCTCTGGGCCTAGGTTCAGGTCAGTGTCCTGTCTGTTTCTGGTGCCTTCCTCGGGGTCCTGATACCTGCCCTTTCTGATACACGTGCAATCCAATAGATGACAATGTTTGCCAAGCCTGAGTCTGTGCCAGCACCTTGCTGAGCACTTCACAGCCCGTGAGACTCCCCCAAGCAGCTTTTATGGAAGAGGGGATCCAGACTCAGGGACATTGGCTTAAAGAGGTTGTAGCCAGTCCCCAGGGGCCACTGACTCCAGACCCAGGTGCATATCACAGTGCCAAGGGGCCTTTCTGTGCTTACAGAAATGAATCAGTTGGCATAGTGAATTTCAAATCAGTGCTTAAACTGATGGCCCTTTTTGTGGTTCAGGAAATTTGTGACAGGGTGATCCAAGAGCACCACTCATCTGGCACCCTCTGTCACTCAAAAAACCCCTGACACACACTCACATGCTCATGTGAGTCGACTGTTTCCTCCTGGCTGTGTTTGTACCAGTGTGCCTGTGAGTATTGATCAGGGTTCAGGGGCATCCTCCACAACCCAGAGAATGAATGCCCTGTGTAAATCCCCCTTTCTATGGGGAGATGTGAGTGAGTGAGTGGTGAATGAGCGAATATTCTGCTTCCTGATTGCTGCCTCTCTGAGCAAGGTGTCTGCCCCCTCCTAACCACCCCAGCATTTCTGGAAACCCTTGAGAACATTCCACTTGGGAGCTGCTAAATGTTAATGAGGGATCAGGTCAAGAGGGGCCCCCTTGACCTTTGCCCTTGGGCTTTGCCACCCTGCCGTTTTAGGAGGGTGATTTATTGAAGTGAAGGTAGAGGGAGTGGGTGGAAAGGAAATCACCCTTTAAAATTTATGACCATTTTCTCTGACATTAACGTGCAAGCCTCTGGCCGTGCAATTAGAGGTTGTTAGGCAGCTACAATGGGAAATTAATTCTGTAGGCTCCCTTGCCTGGTTGTGGGCAGCACTGCTCCAGGGCAGGTGGAAAGTAGGCTTGTTTCACTGGCCTGGCCGGAAGGTTGTAGTGTTCTCCTGAGAAGGGAATGTGAGCTGGTTTAGGTGTGTTGGGGCAGGGCGGGGCTCGGCTGGGGGGTGGGAGAGAGACACTGAATCAGTGCATGAGTGACCAGCTAGGACTGAGCCCAAAGACCTGAGATTCCCTGGGAGGCTGTGGGGTCTGCCACCCAGCAGATCTGTGTCACGGGAGTGGCGCTGTCACTCGTTGAGGTGGTGGCCTGGTTCCTTTGGCCTTAGGGAAGGACAAACTTCAACTCTGAGCCTTGATTGAGTGACCTTGGCCAAGTTACCTAGCTTTTCTGAGCCTCACTTTCTTGGCAATTAGATGAACCAGAGGTTTATTTCACTCAGTAAGTAATCTTTTCTCTTCCTTCGTCTTGGAGGTTTTGAAGCTTCTAATCTCCCATGGGTTTTGTACTTTTTCTTACTCGGGATGTTTGTTTCTCTTTGTCTTTAAAAAAATTATTTTTCCTCCTTTTTAATTTTTATGTTTAAAATATCTTCTATTCATTAACCTTCATGGAGCTTGTCTGTGTGCAACTTCATCTGAGAGCGCTCAGGCTTCCCTCTCTCCTCTGCCCAATGCAGTGCTTTGCATACTGTAGGAGCTGCATAAATGCCACTGGCTTATGGGCATCTGCAGTTCTGAGAGTGAGGGCTGGGGGCTGGTCTTAGGAGGGCAGCTCTCAGGCTACAAATGGGGGCTTGCACCAGCGTACTGGCTGAGGACTGCCTGCCTTTGAGCTAGGTCTTACCCATCCACGACAAAAATGAGAGAACAGTACAAGGTGGAGAGTTTGTCATAAGCTTAATTTATTCAATTTAGAGTCTTGTTCTTTATTCTAGACAATGCCACCACCTACTGTTTTGCTGTTTAAATGTACCTAATTTTAGGAAATCATAATTTTGGATCACGGCAGCTTTTCTTATTAAAATTTTACTTGTAGAAATAAAAAGGTGGCACCTCTGTCATTTACCCCTCAATATTTTATATTTGACTCTTCTGTGAAATCCAAAAATGTAGCAACTGCTGAACCCCACAATGTCTGATCTATAGCAGGCATTTCAGAGCCTCCAGGACTTGATTAGATATTGTTACACAGTGGTGATATGAGAACACACACCTGTCCATCGTTGAGATTTTGTTTTATGTATATTCCTATAGCTGTGCAGGTAAAACATGCCATTTAGCAGTGCTACTATGGCACAACTGCAGGGGGCACCATGTAGAGACCGTAGTTGGATGTGGCCTGGAGTTGTGTGTCAGTGGCCATCCCTCTTAGATTGACGATGCCCAGGCTCACTGGTTTTCAAACTTTGTTTTGCAACAGAACTCTGCTGGAAATGTATGTTTGTTTGTTTGTTTGTTTGTTTCGAGACCGAGTCTTGCTCTGTCGACCAGGCTGGATTGCAGTGGCCCAATCTCAGCTCACTGCAACCTCCACCTCCTGGGTGAAGGTAATTCCCAAGAAGCTGGAATTACAGGCGTGCACCACCACGCCCGGCTAATTTTTGAAAAGAGATGGGGTTTCTCCATGTTGGCCAGCCTGGTCTCAAATTCCTGACCTAAAGTGATCAGGTCACTGATCACTCCTCCCAAGGAGCTGGAATTACAGGCATGAGCCACCACACCCAGCCCTTTGCTGGAAATCTTAAGGGGAGTTCCCCTATTGATCAGACAGAGCAGAACTGCTCTGCCCGAGTGGGCGTGGGGCCCAGGGCCCAGCCGTTTGACCTCGTTCTGCCTCCCTTTCTCTCCTAAAAGCATCTCCCTTGACCTTCTGTCCTTGTAATTAATTCAGGTCTCCACAGAGCACACTGAAAACCTCAGGTCTAGTCTCATTTCCATTTTATAGAAATTGATGGTAAAAGACACATAGCATAAAACGTAGCATCTTACCCATTTGTAAGTGTGCAGCCTAGTAGTGTTAAGGACACTCCCAGTGTTGTGCAATCTCCAGAATGTTTCGTGTTGCAAAACCGAAACTGCACTCATTAAACAACTCCCCATTCCCCCTCCCCTCAGCCCTTGGCAACCACCAGTGTGCTTCCTTCTGTCTCTGTGAGTCTTGCTATCCTAGTTACCTCCTGGAAGTGGAACCCTACAGTATCTGTCCTTTTGTGACTGGTTTACTTCACTTAGTATCATGTCCTCAAGGTTCATCCAAGTTGTAGCCTGTGTCAGAATTTCCTTCCTTTTTAAGGCAGAATCATATTTCATTGTAGGTGTAAACCATATTTTGTTTATCCATTCATCTGCTATGGACACTAGGATTGCTTGCACCTATGGCTGCTGTGAATTAATGCTGCTATGAACCATAGGTGTGCAAAATGTCTTTTGAGTTCCTGCTTTTAATTCTCTTGCTTACACCCAGAAATGGAAATGCTGGATTATATGGTAATTCCATGTTTAATTTTTCGAGGAACCGCCATACTGTTTTTCATACCCAGTGCATAATTTTCATGTCTCATTGTTGATAAAATAGAGGTGACTAGGAGGCTCCAGGAAGAAGCCAGAGCCCCAGAGGACACAGAATGGCCTGGGAATGTATTCCCTCCATCTGTGCTAGGTCATGATTTGGGCATCGCTGGCTTCCTCTCCCCAGAGGCCAGCTCTTGCTGGATTCCAATGACCTGGTTCCCTCTTTGTGCCTCTTCAGGGCTACCCTCTGGTGACTGCCTCCCATGTTGCTTGTCTTGGGTGCCTTAGCATCCCTCGGTGGGTCCCTTGGCTCTGCCTTCACTTCTGTCAATAGACCTCCATTAGCTGCTCTTCATTGGAAACTTTTGAGCGTGCCATTTGCTACCTGCACATCTTGTCTGATATAATTACTAGCAGGATGACCTTGGGCACATTGCACAACCTCACTGTACCTCAGTTTCCTTCATCTATAAACTGCCTCCCTAGGGTTGCTGATGTATGTTGATCTATTACAAAGGACTGAAAACAGCCACTGGCACATAGGAAGCCCTCACGTAAGTGTTCACCATTATTTGTATGATTACCATATCCCTGTGCAAGGTCCCTCCTAAGATGTAAGCTGCCTTAGGTCTCCAGGGCTCCCCCTTTGGAATGTGAGCCCCTTACAGATTCAGTACCTGATTTCTGGGCTTCGAGGCAAGACAGACATGGCCAAGGGGAGAAAAGCAGTATTGGAAGGATGCTCCCAGACCTATCCACCAAAGTGAGACAAAGCATTGGGTGAACCCTCTTCTCAGTACCAGCTTCACAGAATAGTAAGCAGCTGCAGCGTGGGGCTCAGAGTGGCTTTGGCTTCTGTGCTTACTTAGCAAGTGATCCGTCACAAGTCCTGCCAGCTCCCTTTGGAACTCTGTCACCCCGCTCAGCCATGGACAAGCAGACAGCCACGGATATTATGACAATGCAAGTCCTGGAGGGTTTGCATCTCTGATATGGAGGAGTCAGAGTAATCCTTCCCACTCTCCCCCGAGATGCTTTTCAAAGAGGAGCCTGCTTTGAGTTCTGAACATCTGAGTCTTTCACGAAGGAATGTGGAGAAATCGAGGGGGCTTTTCTTCCCTGCAGAACTGATGATGGCCATCCAGAGGGGGAAAGGCACGAGCAGGCTCCCTCTCTCTCTCTTTCTCTCCCCCTCTTTTTTTGGGTGCAACAGAAACCTTGCACTTCCCTTAAGCTTTCTGTAGTACATGTTAAGATTCCTCTGCCACGCCCAAATTTCAACTTTTCTCCAATATTCTCTTTAACTTAGAATGAGGACTCAGGCCCTAATTGAATTGTCTTTGAACAGTTTTTGTTCTGAGCTATGAACTGTATATTCCCTTTATTCACCCAACAGATATTTATTAAATATTTTTGGTTGGGCATGGTGGCTCATGCCTGTAATCCCAGCACTTTGGGAGGCCGAGGCAGGCGATCACGAGGTCAGGAGTTCGAGACACCCTGACCAACATGGTGAAACCCTGTCTCTACTAAAAATACAAAAATTAGCTGGGCATGGTGGCGTGTGCCTGTAATCTCAGCTACTTGGGAGGCTGAGGCAGGAGAATCACTTGAACCTGGGAGGCTGAGGTTGCAGTGAACCTAGATTATACCATTGCACTTCAACCTGGGAGACAGAGTGAGACTCCATCTCAAAAAAAAAAAAAAAATTACGTGGCTGGCACTGGATTCTGTACTGGGAATGTGATGAACAAAGGAGATAAGGACCCTGGCCTCGTTTACATTCTAATAGGGAAGACAGCCAAAAGTGAATGAATAAGTGAATACGTAAACAGACACAATAGCGGCAAGTTGTAATGAGTGCTGTGAAGGGGAAACACCGAAGGCAGCAAGGACAGCATATGCAAAGGTCCTGTGGCGGAAAGGGAGAGAAAGTTACTATGCCAAAATAACACCCCAGGGGCAGAGGGAGATGGAGAGTTGGAGAGGTGGCCACAGCTGGCCCCACAGGGCCTGGCTGGCTGCAGGAAAGTTTCAGAGTGCTTTTCTGAGTGTAATGGGAATCCACTTGCAGGGTTTAGGTAGGAACAATGTGATCCGATGGTGACTGGCTACTGTGCTAATGGGTCTGGGTGACTGATTTGGAGGCGACTGAAGATAACATGTCACCCTGGGCTACCAAGGAGGCAGAGAAGGTTGGAGAGATTTTCAAGGCAGAATTGAGAGGAGTTCCTGATGGATTGTGATGGAGAGGGAGGGAAGAGAATTTAGACAATGAGAAAAATCCCAGATAATGCCTAGAGCTTTTCACTTTCTCAAACACTCATCCCTTTTCCCTCTTATTTTGATTAAGCACTATCTGTCATTTTCTTTGAACATATAAATATCACTTGGTGATAGCGAAGTAAAAGCATCAGGCATGATCCTGCACTAGTTTGTGGGCATGGATTCAGTATGGACTTCTTACTTCAGGGAGTGTGTCCCCAGGTCACCTTGGTTCTGTGGACGCTGAGAGCAGGCCTCTTGTAATGCAAGTGCTGAGAAGACTTAGAGATAATTAGGGCAGCGTCTTCTCTGCGGAGAGGTTGAGCCACTCAGCTGGTGTCACCCAGCTGGTCAGTGGCAGGGAGCCAGGCTGCACGTCTTTGATTTTTAACCTACACTCTCACCAGTGAGATCAGCCCTGGGCAGCCTGTGAATCTGATCGTGTTACCTTCCATTGATTCCCAGATACCCTGTGTTCCAGGCAGTGCCAAGAACCAGTGAGGAGCACTCCGGGCCCTGGTAGACAGAAACATCCTTCAGAGTTTATGGCAAACAGGAGAGATTTGAAAGTGGCCAGTATGTAGGGAAATGGTTCAGTCAGTTATGTTATATGAAAATGATGGAATATTTCCCAAATATTAGGTAGTGGTCAGAAGAATATTCTGTAACTTTGGAATGCATGTGGTAGAGAACCAAGTGAAAAAATAGGACTTCGTAGTATGGGTTGAGTGTGCAATGCACTTAAGGAGAAGGACTTGGGAGGATTATACTGTTTCATTTTTCCTAAATATGTCTATGATGCAGTTACATGAAAAAGGAAGCATGCTGTCAGAACCCCCAGTTCCCAGTTTAGTTGTCATAATGCTTAAAGGCCAAGGGGTAAGAGCAAATGACTGGAGTTACCAAAATTCCCCTCCGAGGAAGGGCAGGTCGGCGTCCTTCTGCAAACATTCTTCTAGCCAACGGAACCTGCCATTGTGGAATGGCAAAGGTGGGGACCTGCCGTGCGTGCTGCTGGAAGAAGTTTATAATCAAATGTGTCCATGAGTCCAAGACAGGATGAGTCAATGGTGCTCACGGAGGACTCTTCCATCCCCAGTCATACCCCTTAAAGCAGCACAAAGCAAGCTCCTGTCATCGGGTCCCGAGTGACCACAGGATGTTATTTTGGCCTTTGGCCCTGTGTATTTCCTTCCCTGGCCTTGAGAGGGCTGTGGAGGGCAGATCAACAGGGCAAAGGAAGCTTCGCTCTTTGAAATATCCATGCTTGCCCCTTCTGGGACCTCCCTCCTGGGTGCACCTCTAATCATACGACCCCTCCTTGTCGAGGACCGTCTTTTCCGAGGCTCTGTGGCATATGGTGACGATGACATAGGAAAAGCAGCTTATCTTTGAAATTCAGCTTGTGAATTCCAATTCTGTGAAATTGTGGGAATCCTCAGGCCTTTCCCGAACAAGCTCCCGTGCTCTTGGTCTGGTTGCCGCTGGCAGAGTTAGTGTCTTTTAGCTTCTCACTCAGGTGGTGCTTTGTTGCCTGGACAAGCTATACTCCTTCTTCCCTTTTTTCTCTGCTCTGGAGTGTTTTTGTGGGGTGAGGAGAGCTCTTAAATCCTTCTAGGTCTTGAGATGATGACACTAGGAGCCTGGTCATTGTGGGCAGGAAGTAGACTATAGATAGGGCCGACAGATCGTTGCCTTCGGCCTTTGTCACTTGTTTAACCCACTTGAGTGTTTATTAAAAATGTGAGTTAGTTCCCGACATTCACTCTGGATCTAGGCTTCTCCTGGAGCAATAATAGCTGAAGCCAGAAGCGTCTGTGCAGCAGCTAGACGGGGCAGGTTGCTCCGATGGCCCCATTGCCCTCCCAGACTGCTTTCCTCGTTAGTACCCCCTGCTTGGCCCTAGCAGCCAGGTGACTTTGGGACCCTGGGTCGGTCTGTACACTGCAGAGTGCTGTCTTGGATCCTGGGGCTCTTATTGACACACAGCTGCTGGCAATTCCCCTTTGGCCCCCGTGCAGGTGACCGAAAGTGACTGCAGCCCAGTTAGCAGGGGCTTTTCCAGTTCCATGTGAGAATTGTTTATCCTCCCAACTAGGTGTTCCAGCAGGGCCGTGGGAGCAGAAGCAGAATTCAGATGACAGATAGACGAATGGAGATAAAATAGAGATTGACTTCTGCATTCCTTGCTCAGCTTTCCACACCCTAATAAAAGTCTGAGCCAGAAAGTGGGTGGAAGCCCTGGCCCTTTGTTACCTGCCCTTTGTTTCAGTGCCATGCGGCTAATGAATGCCGACCTCCGGGAAGCTTTTTCCACTCCTGCTTGGCGCATGAGAATACAACCAGCTGGTCCCTCCACAGTGGGCTCAAATGTGACCCTGCGTAGTGCTCCTGGGAGGTGCATTTGAGCTGTCCTAGAAGGGCTTCCAGAGCTCGAGCTGTTGCCAAGTTTAGAAGTGGCCGCATGTGTGGTGCCAGCCACAGCATCCTATTCCTGCAGATAAGCCTACAGGCTCTGTAGGAGTGCCGGCATGCACACAGCACCACCTGGGTGGAAAGCAGCAGTCATTGGTTAGGAATTTGGGGATTTTCTAATCTAAGTGTTCTCCCAAGGAAGTGCAAGTCAGGAGAGGGCCGAATGTGCACGAGACTCTGCAGGAAGGCTGAAAAACTTTCAAAACAGTACAGGCAATTAATCAGGGATGCCTGCATGGGCCACTCTCTGGTGCCCTGTGTTTACAGACATGAGGGCTGGGTTTTCCTGCCCTGAGAAGAGAGGGCCGTCCAAGGAATAGGAGAGCCATGGCACAGGAAGTGGAAAGTCAGTCTGGGATGTAAAGTTGGAAGTCAGGGTCCTTTGGGTCCTGTATCCTGACTAATGACCCCAAAGATATTCTGGGTGGCATGTGCCAGCCTCCTTGCCAAGTGTCTCAGAGCCTGCAGAGCACCATCCATCCTCAATTCCTTTAATAACCTGAGGAACCTGTCATCCATTTAGGAATCAATACTTTGGTTTTTTTTTTTTTACTATTATTTCTGCTTACCTCACCTTTTGGGGGAATCATTCCCTCCATTTTTATCCCTGGTGTAAACTTCCCTGCCCTCTGGCAGATGTCATTGTTATCCTTGAGTATTTATGCAGTTCTGATGTCCTTACTGAGTGCTGACCCTCTGCATGCAGGTATCTAGGTGTGGTTGGGGTGGGTGCATCAAAAAGGCTAGACTGTGTGCAGCTGCTTCTGCACACAGATAACTCTGACACACACCCAAATTGGCATAGAGACTGGCGCTGGGGGGAAGGATGTGACCAATAGGACCAGACTGTCTACCTGGGTTCAAATCCTGGCTCCACCATTTCCTGGCTGCATGATCCGGCACTAGGTTTCTCATCTGTTAGTGGGGATAAGGGTAGTACCCATGCGGAGGGCAGTTGTGAGGAGTAAAAGAGTAACTATACTGTAATCCCAGCACTTTGGGAGGCTGAGACAGGCAAATCGCTTGAGGCCAGGAGTTTGAGACCAGCCTGGTCAACATGGCGAAACCCCATCCCTACTAAAAATATAAAAATTAGCCAAGCGTGGTGGTATGTACCTGTAATCCTAGCTACTCCGGAGGCTGAGGCACAAGACACACTTCAACCCGGGAGGTGGAGTTTGCAATGAGTTGAGATCGTGCCACTGCACTTCAGCCTGGGCGACAGAGTGAGACTCTGTCCCCCCAAAAGAAGAGTAACTGTAGGTGAATTGCCAGCGTGGTTCTGGGCAGCTGTGAAGCCCTATGAAAGTGTGTTGGTGGTTGCCTTTAATATAGAAGGCAGATGAGCTTGTAGTCCCAGCTACTTGGGAGGTCAAGGCAGGAGGATCGCTTGAGGCCTGGAGTTCAAGACCAGCCTGAACAATATAGTGAGACCCCGGCTTTAATAAATAAATAAATAAGCAAGCAAGCAAGCTGAGCGTGGTGCTGCACACCTGTGTTTCCAGCTACTCGGGAGGCTGAGGCAGGAGGATCACCTGAGCCTGGGAGATTGAGGTTGCAGTGAGCCCTCATGGTGCTACTGCACTCCAGCCTGAGCAACAGAACCAGACCCTGTCTCTAAAAAACAACAACGAAAAGAAGGCAGACTGTGATGGATTCTATACGGAAGAGATAAATGCCCTGCTGTGGAAATGTAGAGGAGGAAAAATTAGTCCTGACAAGGGAGGTTTTTAGGAGAAAGGCAGATTGAAGCTGCCCCTGGGGAAGAAAGTTGTAACAGGCAGAGGAAGCAGCTGGAATGAGGTAGGGAGGCCTGATGGTATGGAGTCTGCATGCTCAGGGCTGCCTGCTGTGGCCAGAGATTCGGGTGTGTGTATTGTGGAGGGGATTGCAGGGGGCTGGGGAAGCAGAGATCAGTCTGCAGTGGTGGGTGAAGACAGCCAGTCGTGTTGCACGTGGGACAGGGGCCCTGGCTGGGCAGGCAGGGGGAGCCCAGCCCTGTCACTGGCCATTGATCCCAGGCCTTGACCAAATGGGGTCTCTAATCCCCAAGGGTCCCGGTGGGTTATTAGGAAGGGCAGATGAGCCCCTGCAGGGGAACGTTGTGCAGTATGGCAGGCGCACCCCACATGGGTGTGTGATCCTTTGTTTTTTTGCTGCAGGCTCCATAATGTCATCCGGTCTTTCTAGCCTCCTAAGAATGAGGTTCCTAGTTCTTACCTAATTTCTCTTCAATTTCTCATGCACTGCATCTTCCCGCTGTTTATTTAATGTACATGTTGTCTGACTTCATTTGGTTCTGTATTTCACAACCAGTCTGATTGCTCTTGTCCCAAGTCATTGCTTTTTGGGGTGAGGGCTGATGTGTTGTTGAAAGTCTTTGGCAATGCTTAATTTTATGGTATGTGCAATGCTAATTCTGCCTTTAGTAATTTGATGACAGAGACTTCTTGGGAACCACAGCCAGGGAGCCACCCTTTACTCCACCAACAGGTGGCTTATATCCAATCTGAGAAAGAAAGAAAAAAAAAAAAGTATTTCTCTGGCTTTCACTTCATTTGACAGGTGAGCTGAAGCTATTGTGTGTATTCTCTTAGTAAAGTCAGTTCCCACAGTTCCCTGGGGGTGATGTGGCTTTGAGGTAAGAATGAGGTAACAGACTTAAATGTACATGATTTTATTGAGATAGAATTCACATACCACAAAATTCACCCTTTTAAATTGTAAAGTCCTGTGGTTTTTAGTATATTAACAAGGCAGTACAACCATCACCATTATCTAATTCTACAACATTTCATCATCCCCAGAAGAAACTCCATTAGCAATCCTCTCCCATCCCCTGTTCCCTTACCCTCTGGCAACTGCTTATCCACTTCCTGTCTGTGGATTTGCCTTTTCTGGACATTTAATATACATGGAATCAGTGCAATACGTGGTGTTTTGTGTCCAATTCTTTCACTTAGCATAATGTTTTCAAGGTTTATTCACATTATTGGTAGTACTGCATTCCTTTTTATGGCTTAATAATAATTCATTGTATGGCTGTAACAGATTTTGTTTATTCATCGGTCAGTGAACATTTGGTTATTTCCACTTTTTGGCTAATATGAATAAGGCTCCTCCGATCACTCGTGTATAATTTTCTTTGTTTTTCTTTCTTTTTTCTTTTCTTTTTTTTTTTTTTTGAGACAGAGTCTCACTTTGTCATCCAGGCTGGAGTGCAGTGGTACAATCTCTGCTCACTGCAACCTCTGCTGCCTGGGTTCAAGCAATTCTCCTACCTCCGCCTCCCAAGTAGTAGGGATTAAGGCCTGCACCACCACGCCTGGCTTATTTTTGTGTTTTTAGTAGAGACGGGGTTTCACCATGTTGGCCAGGTTGGTCTTGAACTCCTGACCTCAAGTGATCTGCCTGCCTCGGCCTCCCTAAGTATTGGGATTATAGGCGTGAGCCACCGCACCCGGCCTTGTGTATAATTTTCTGTGCGAACGTGCATTTTTGATTCTCTTTTGTATATACCGAGAATTGGAACTGCTGTGTCGTGTTGTAACTCTAGGTTTAACATTTTGAGGAACTGCTAAACTGTCTTCCAAAGCGACTGCACCATTTTATATTTCCACCAGTAATGTGGATTCTTCACAGCCTCGCCAACACTTATTATTGTCTCTGATGGTAGGCATGCTAATGGGTATGAAGTGGTTTTGATTTGCATTTTTCTAATGACTAATGATGTTAAGCATCATTTCATGTGCTTATCGGCTATTTGTACATGATCTTTTTGATAAATGCCTGTTCTCATCACATCCTTTGCCGTTTTTAAATTATTAGTTTTTTAACTGTTGAGTTGTAAGAGGTCTTTGTATTTTCTGGATACTAGGCCAGATCTGTCATTTGCAAATGTTTTCTGTCATCCTGTGGGTTGCCTTAAGTATACATTCAAACTAGTACCTTTCACTAGAATATTATGCTCTTGGTCAGCCACAAAGGGTAGTGCTCTGAAACTCTACCAAAGAACAGTTGTATCTTTGCATCACCAGCACCTGGGTGAGCACCTGGCATAAAGTAGGAACCGGTGATTTGAGTAAATAAATGAATGTTTCTGTTTGCCACCTTTTGAGAGTAAAAATGGGTGTGGTAAGATAGACAGAAATGGATAATGAATTGCTGAGCCAAACCACAGAGGCAAAGATGCAGGATTGCATGCTAAAGCACCTTGTATCTGGCTATGATGTTCAAGATCAATGAAAGACTGGAGTGCAGATCAGGGATTGCACCTGTGTTTCTGATGCAGTAAATATACTTTTCCGAAATCAATAGGGTGACTCTGCAGAGCCCTGTAAACATGGTGTAATTACTGTGCTGAGAATTACAGTTGTCACATATCGATTCTGTCTTCTCAGCAGGTATTCGTACATTTCCTCCTGCCCCTAGTGCCACTCTGCCCCATCTCCAAAATCTAATTCCCATTGACCGCATCACACTGCTGTGTCCAGGAGGGAAGAGGGGATGTAATGTAGTGAGGGGACTTCAGCTGTACCTTCACCTTGGTTGAGGAAGAGGCAGCTGAGTGAGTCACAGATTTAGGGACAAGGTGGCACAAAGTTGCTCTGAAAATTAGATCAAAGAATCCCAAGAAGTAGATAGGCATCAACCTCAGTGGAAGCTGCCTCGGGAAATAACCTGCTCAAAGAAGGATTTCTCATTCTTCAGAGTAGACTAGGAGGGAGGCTTCCTTAATCCTGGAAACAAGGCCCAGGTCATCCCTGCAGAGGAAACATCTATATATAAAGTGGCTAACGTAAGATAAACTGTCATCTTAGAAAGCATCATTCACTGACTCGCTCATTCGCTCACTCGTTTGTTCTAACCTTCACTGAATAGACACTTGTGTTCTTGGTGTGTTGCAGGAGGGAACTATGCTATGGCTGGGGCGATGAGTGAAGTACAGCCTCTGCCCTCGAGGAGCTTGTGTTCTCCCAGGAGACACAGGCAGTGAGGCTAGAGTGCAGAGATGAACCACCAGAGGTGGTGAATGCGGTGGGGGGAGGAATGGTGTCAGGCCTCTTGGGGAGGCTTAGGAGAGTTACCCACAGGAAGGGAGAGCCTGCCAGGAGGAGTAGGTGTTTGTCAGGCAGACCGGGTGTGCCAGGCAGAGGGGAGCCGCTCATGTTGGGGCCTGCACTCACAGAACTACAGGGCGTGGAAGGGAACTGCGCGAAGCCTGGTATGATGGAGGCAGTTGGCTGCCACCCAGGAGTGGGGAAAGTGAGGTTGGCAGTGGGAATTTCCCACCTCTGTTTACCTCTGCTTTGAGGGGGTGGGGCTGGCAGGAGATTCCAGAGGGAGCATCCCAGGCTCTGAGGGCTGGTCTCAGTGTGGGTGGGAACACTTCCCACACTGCTGTGACTCTGGGGTGATTGCCGTGCTCCTGTATCCGAACACCCGTCTCCATCCAACAGTGTCTTGTGTTGATTCGTCTTTGGAACTATATCTTCCTTCTGAGGTGGAGGATGGGAATGGATTGATTGGAACAGTGAATGGTTCTCAGACTTTTCATTCTCAGGACTCTTACAGATACTGAGGCACTCCACAGATCTTGTTTTTAAATAGGGGTATGTCTATGGATATTTACTGTATTAGAAATTAAAACTGAGGATACACAGGTGTGTGTTCTGTTAGCCATGGGCGATGTCTTCACAGAGCATGTAGAAACCCCCACTCATGAGGGAAAGATTGAGAAAGGCACATACAGTCTGTGAAGATAGTTTTGACCTCCTAGACCTCTCTGCTCAAGGGTGTTAGAGACAGACCCCTAGGGGTTTCTGAACCACGCACTGAGAATTCCATTGGATTAGAAGCTGTGCGGGTGCCCCTACGTTCTCACTTGTCTCTGAGCCCTTTGTGAGTTTCTCAGGATAAACCATCCACCCATGGAAGTGGCAGATCCTGAATGCCATCTGCAGGACGGGCACTGTGCTGAGCCTCAGCCAGGCGGAGACGGGCGGGTACTGCACAGAGTGAGGCAGTCAGAAGTCCTGCCCTCTGCAGTTTCCAGGGGCCCAACATTCAATAAATTGTTGCAGAAGCAAATATTTACCTCACCACTGGGAGAGGGCTGTGTGGGAGAGTGATGAACAGCCTACCTGGTCAGGTGCCCCGCAGGCTTTCCTGAGAAGTGAATCCAGGCGCAGAAGGAAGAGGAAGTGGAAGTTGGTGGGGAAGAGGAAGTGGAAGTTGGCGGGGAAGAGTGTTGCAGGTCCAGGAAGTGGCCCATATATGATTTTTATCAGGGTGGAGCCCCTGTGGTTAGAGCCCAATGAGTGAGGGGGGTAAAGATGGGGAGAGGGGTTGACCTGCGAAGCACCCTCTGCTTCCTCCTTCCTTCTCCAACAGCAAGGATCCGAGGGGAAGGAGTCCATCACTGGCCTAGACACCATACCCTGAACCGCCCCCCGTGGTCTCCCGCTGCTTTCTGCCACTGCCCAAGGGCTGGACAGCACCACCCCTCCTAATTCCTAGGAATTAGGCCCTTCTTGGCTCTGTGCCCTGAGCCATGTTCTCCTCTTGGCCTTGGGCTCTGATCAGATGCTCAGTTGTCTCCCTTCTCTGCTTCCCTCACTTGCCAGGGTCACCTTGTCGTCCTCTGCCTCCTATTGTATATATCCCTTTCATAAGAATAATAGCCCATCCTCACACTGTGAGCCACTGTTGCAGGTGCTCCACAAACATTCCCACCTTCAGTCTTCACCGCACCCCTGTGGGCTTGGTCCTGTTGTTGTTCTCAGCTTCCACGTGAAGAAACTGAAGCCCAGAGAAGTTAAACACTGCACACAAGGCCACATAGCCAAGATGTGGTAGGGTTGGGATTTGAACCCAGGCCAACAGGCTTCCATCTAGATTCTTAACCACTATGCTGGGCTGCTTTTCATTCTATGTCATTTTCTTTTTCTTTTTTTTTTTTTGAAACAGAGTCTCGCTCTGTCACCCAGGCTAGAGTGCAATGGCGTGGTTTCAGCTCACTACAACCTCCACCTCCCGGGTTCAACCAGTTCTCCTGTCTCAGCCTCTCTAGTAGCTGGGACTACAGGCGTGTGCCGCCCCACCCGGCCAAGTTTTGTATTTTTGGTAGAGATGGGGTTTCACTATGTTGGCCAGGCTGGTCTTGAACTCCTGACCTCAGGTAATCCACCGCCTCAGCCTACCAAAGTGCTGGGATTACAGGCACGAGCCACTGCACCCAGCCCATTCTGTGTCATTTTCTTTCCAGCTGTGGACCATGTATTTGTATCCCTAGGCTGAACACATAGTAGGAGCTCATTAGAAATTTGACACATGAAATCATCTTTGTATTCCCTCTTCATGGCCATCATGTCTTGTGCATATACCATTAATAAAGAAACAAGTAATTGGACCAATAAGCAAAACAAACAGCAGTGACTGCCACGTATTAGCGTGTTTGGAATCTGTAATTACCAGCTTTCTTTAGGGCAGAGGTGTGAGTTCATAATGCCTAGACAGGTTCTAAAACCATCCTGGTCCCTGGTGAATATGCCAACAGAAGGTATTGTTTTTACTATTATTACTGTTATTAAAAGCAAAAGCCTCTTGGGATGTGTACATTCCAAGCCCAGGGCTGGGGCTGTTAGTTCCCAGCAAGGACAAGATGAGGAGGGAGTGATTCTCAAGGAGGTGATCAGAAGACCCATCCCCTGGGCGTGCACTGGGGTCAGAGGCCAGCTTTTGGAAAAGGAAAATGAGCTAAGGTCTGGCTATTGTAATTCCCTTATCTCTGACTTCCTGCTGAGGCTGGTTGGTTTCTGGCGTTCTACAGAATTCCCTGGTGGCTTCTCAGCAGCAGGCCTGAGACCCAGAACCAGTGATCATGTTTGTGAGCAAATGACTGAGGAGGATTTGATGCGAAATGGGCTGTGAGTGTTGGGGATAAAGCGTGACTCTCAGTTGTGCTACTTTTTACCACTTCTGGGCAGCCTCAGTTGGCCCGCTCTGTGGGTTTTTCCCTCCAGCTTTGCAGATCTGCAGGCATATTTATTTGTGAGTGGAGTAAGCGGAATTTTTCAAAGAGAAGCAGTTTGCAAAAGATGAAAAAACAACTTGGGATAAATGGCTCATCTGGCAATGGGAAATGGCCTCCGGCATTGAGAGATCTTTAGCCTTGTCTGAGCAAGCAGAGGGGAATTTGGCTTCTGTATCATCTTAGAGAAAGAACCTTTCTGCCTCCTTGCTGAGGCTAGGCCCTGGGGAGAAACAGCCTAAAACCCCCGACACCATTTGAGAATTTAAAAGTTTCCCTGTCCAGTCAACTTTTGTGCCCCTCCTTGTCCAAGCCCCCATGATCTCTGTTCCCTGGACTTGCTGTGGCCTTGCCTTGCCTTCTTTTTTTTTTTTTTTTCTTTTTTTTGCGATGGATTCTCGCTCTGTCACCCAGGCTGGAGTGCAGTGATGTGATCTCAGCTCACTGCAGCCTCCACCTCCTGGGTTCAAGCGAATCTTCTGCCTCAGCCTCCCAAGGTTGGGACTACAGGCGCGCGCCACCATGCCTGGCTAATTTATTTATATATATATATATAGTATATATAATATATAGTATATATTATATATATAATATATAGTATATATAATATATAATATATAGTATATATATAATATATACTATATATTATATATATACTATATAGTATATATAATATATATAATATATATATATATAATATATATAATATATATACTATATATTATAATATATATATATATTTTTTTTTTTAGTAGAGACGGGGTTTTACTGTGTTTGCCAGGCTGGTCTCAAACCCCTGACTTCATATGATCCGCTGGCTAGGATGACAGGCATGAACCACCGGACCTGGCTGCCTCCTTGACTTCTAACTGAAAACCCTTCTGTCTCTTCTGTAGATTTCAGCCGCCAATGTGGTCTCAAAAGTACAGGGCAAATCCATTCCCATCACACCTGCAATCAAAGCCTCCGGTGCTTCACTCAGAGTGAAAGCTCATCTTCCTGTGGCCCATGAGGCCCTCTGTGATGGGGTCAGTCTGCCTTCCCCACCTTCTTTCCTGGTGGCATCTTCTTGCTTTCTCAGCTGCAGCCACACTGGCTCTGTTGTTCCTCACATGGATCAAGCTCAGTTCCCACCTCAGGGCCTTTACATTTTGCTGTTCCCTCTACCTGGTTCACTTTCCCCAGATATCCTCCTGGCTCTCCTTCATTTGGTTCAGGGCTTTGCTCAGATACTACCTTATCAGAAAGGCCCTTCCTATTGGCCTTATGTAAAGTTGTATCCCTGTTGTCATGCCTGTACTCTGTCCCCCATACTCAGCTTTATTTTTCTCCATAGAACTTAGCCCCACCAGATGTAGTATTAATACATGCTTCATTAATTAGATATATAGTTTCTGTCCCACTACACCAAAATGTAAGCATCATAAAGACGAGGACTTCATTCAGTTCAGTGCTATATTCCCAGTGCATAAAGCATGGCCTGGCACATAACAGGTACTCACCAGGTCTTTGTCATATAAATGAAAGGGAACGACTGAGTCTCCATATACATTTGATCCATGAACAACATGGGTTTGAACTGCATGGACCCGCCTCTATGCAGATTTTTTTCAATAAATATATTGGAAAAATTGTTTGGAGATTTGCAACAATTTGAGAAAACTTGCAGATGAATTATGTAGCCTAGGAATATTGAAAAAATTAAGAAATTTAGGTATGTCATGAATGCATAGAATATATGTTGATACTAGTCTATGTATTAATTGACTGTTTATGTTATTGGTGAGGCTTCCAATTATCACTATTAGTAGTTAAGTTTTTGGGGAGTCAAAATTTATAGTCAGTGTTTTACTGTGTGTGTTGGGGTGGAGGGTGACCCTGTCGCCTGTGTTATTCCAGGATCAACCGTACTTCATTTTGTATTCATCTACCATGTGTCTGGATCCCACACTCACTCAGCATTTCTGCATTTGATGTCATGGAGCAAAGATGGGCACTGGATTTGGGCAGCCCCGCGTTTGAATGCCGCCTCTCCCATTTCCCAGTCGGGTAATGCTGGGCAAGTTAACTTCCTGTCTGATCCTTCATTTCTTCACTTGCAGAATGGAGAGCATATGCCTCACCTTGAGGGCTGTTGGAGGAATGGAGGTTTGGGTGCTCAGTATTTATTAGCCCTTATACTACATTAATTTGGTGTTAGGCAAACAGAGGAAAGCCTTCTTAAAAAACAGCTTTACCAAGATAAAATTCATATACTATAAAATTTGCCCCAGTGAAATTAAAACCACAATGATATAGATACCACCTTACTTCTGCAAGAATGGCCATAATTAAAAAGTCAAAAAACAATAAATGTTGGCTTGGATGTGGTGAAAAGGGGACACTTTCCCACTGCTAGCGGGAATGTAAGTTAGTACAGCCACTATGGAAAACAGTATTGAGATTCCTTAAAGAACTAAAAGGAGAACTACCATTCCATCCAGCAATCCCACTGCTTGGTATCTACCCAAAGGAAAAGAAGTCATTATATGAAAAAGACACATGCACACACATGTTTATAGCAGCACAGCTTACAACTGCAAGGATATGGAACCAACCTAACTGCCCCTCAACCAAGGAGTGGATAAAGAAAATGTGGCATATATACACCACGGAATACTACTCAACCATAAAAAGGAACGAAATAATGTATTTTGCAGCAACTTGGATGGAGCTGGAGGCTGTTATTCTAAGGGAAGTAGCTCAGGAGTGGAAAACCAAATACCATACGTTCTCACTTATGAGTGGGAGGGAGCTAAGCTATGAGGACACAAAGGCATATAGAGAGATATAATGGACTCTGGGGACTTGGGGGTTGGGGAGGTTGGAAGGCGGGTGAGGGATAAAAGACAACATATTGGTACAGTGAACACTGCTCGGGTGATGGGTGCACCAAAATCTCAGAACTGACCACTAAAGAACTCGTTCATGTAATGAAAAACCACTGGTACTCCAAAAACGATTGAAATTTTAAAAAAGAAAATTATAGGCTGGGCACGGTGGCTCACACCTGTAATCCCAGCACTTTGGGAAGCTGAGGCGGGCAGATCGCCTGAGGTCGGGAATTTGAGACAAGCCTGGCCAGCATGGTGAAACCCCATCTCTCCTAAAAATACAAAAAAATTCGCTGGGTGTGGTGGTGGGCACCTGTAATCCCAGGAAGCTGAGGCAGGAGAATCGCTTGAACCTGGGAGGAGGAGGTTGCAGTGAGCTGAGATCACGCCACTGCACTCCAGCCTGGGCAACAGAGTGAGACTCCATCTCAAAAAAAAAAAAAAAAAAAAGAAAAGTATAAAAAATATACACAGTTCAGTTGTTTAGTGTATTCATAGAGTTGTGCAACCATTAGCACAATTCAATTTTAAAACATTTTCATCACCCCTAAAATGGAACCTCTTACTCACTAGCAATCACTTTCATTATGCCCTCCCTAGCAGGTGCTGCCAAACACTAATTTACTTTCTGTGTCTATTTGATTTGCCCATTCTTAACATTTCACGTAAACAGAATCATACAATATGTGGCCTTTTTTTGTTTGTTTTGAGATGGAGTCTCACTCTGTCATCCAGGCTGGAATGCAGTGGCACAATCTCGGCTCACTGCAACCTCCGCCTCCTGGGTTCAAAAGATTCTCCTGCCTTAGCCTCCCGAGTAGCTGGGACTATAGGCGCGTGCCACCATGCTCGGCTAACTTTTTGTATTGTTAGTAGAGACGGAGTTTCACGATGTTAGCCAGGATGCTCTCGATCTCCTGACCTCGTGATCTGCCCACCTCGGCCTCCCAGAGTGCTGAGATTACAGGCGTGAGCCACCACGCCCGGCCTTATGTGGCCTTTTATGACTGCCTTCTTTCACCACCATGATGTTTGTAAGGTCCATCCATGTTGTAATGGGTATGGAGACACCACATTTTGTTCATTCAACCATTGATGGACATTTGGGTTGTTACCACTTTTTCACTGTGAAGAATAATTCTGCTCTGAAGGTTTGTATACACATTTGGTGTGGACGAGGCAACCTCTTATTGGATACATCCAAGCCAGTTCCGGGATGCCTTCTCTCTGTGGTGTCCCAGATCGTCCTGTAGCTCCTAAACTCGTTCCTTTCAAATTAAGAACATATTTTGAGAGAGCTATTTTACTTATCTCAGCAGACATTCTTTTGATACAGGAGTAATTTATTCTTTTCTCACTATTTCATATGACTAGCTGGTTATTCACTTGATTTTGCCACCTGCAGTACCCCTTCTTTGCTCATCCTACAGGTTGTCTCTTATCCAAAATGCTTGGGATGAGAAGTGTTTCAGATTTTGGATTTTTTCAGAATTTTGAATATTTGCATTATATATAGTCACTTACAAGTTGAGCACCCCAAATCCAAAAATCCAAAATCTGAAATGTTCCAATGAGCATTTCCTTTGAGTGTCATGTCAGCACTCAAAAGGATTTGTATTTTGGAGCATTTTGGATATCAGATTTTTGGATTAGAAATGCTCCACCTGTAGCCTGATGTTCCGGATGCCTCTGTCAGACCATAGTCTGCTCAACCATGAGGCTTTATTTTACTCCGCTCTCAGGACGTTACTCTCTCCCTTGAGTGGCCCTTTTCTGAATGAAATTTGCCATTCTGCTCCGAGAGGACCCTTGACTTTAAGCATACTTGTCTGAAACGTGATTTTTGAATACTTAGTTTATCTCATTCTAGTCAATTTATCTCCTAATTGCATTATCTATTATCCCAGTAGAATTATGAAGCATTTGTAGAAGATTCATTAATTTTTGGCTGCCTGCTGGCAAGGATTTGATAACAAAGGCATAGTCAGGACTGCCTTGGCAAGTACTTGTGTTTGAACTTTTGAGGCTTTCTCTTCCCATTTTCCCAAAGGAAGGCTTGATTTTCCTGATTTTGCCTGAAGGGCATAGGCAATAGTGGCGTGTTGTCTTGAAGGAGAGGGAAGAATGGTGGGGCAGAAGAACAGCTCTCTGGTTCTACTCTGAGGAAAGGAAAACAGGGCATATGTCAGGCAATGAGGTTGATTAAAAACATCTCAGTCCAAGGTGTGTGGGATTCCAGAGATGAGTCATATCTCACACTCATAGGCACTTTTCAGTGTATTTTCCCCTACAGTGTATTGCAAATCCTACCTCAGGGCCTTTGCACTTGCTCTCTGGCTTCATTCAGGCCCCTGCTTGTGGGTCTTCCCATCAGAGAGGCCTTCCCTGAATACCCTTCCCCTACTCATCTGCCACCTTTACTCTTAGTCGCCTTACTTGGCTTTGTTTTTCTTCACATATTGCCATCTAGCATAAAATACATTTATTTACTTATTGTCATTCCTCACCAGAATGCCAGCTCTATGAGAGCGACCCATTCACTGTTACATGTTTAAAGCTTGAGATGGTTCTCAGAACATGGAAGGGACCCAGCACATGTGTACTGAATGAATGAATGCATTTGATTTTATGAAAACCCTGGGACAGAGGTATTATAATTCCCATCATGTGGGAGGAAACCTGGACTCAGAAGACTGGGGAGAATTATTCAAGGTCACAAAGTAGTCGCTGCTGAGTCAGAAGTTGAGCTCAGCTCTTCTGGTCCTGATGCAGCCATCTCAGGCTCGCAGGGCCCAAGAACAAACTCTGGCGGTCATACAGACAGGCTCAGAAGATGCCGCAGACTGCAGCGGGAGGTAGCATATGAGGCAGTGACTAGAGTGGACATTTTAAGAATTACAGAGCGGCCGTGCACAGTGGCTCACACCTGTAATCCCAGCACTTTGGGAGGCCGAGGCAGATGGATCACCTGAGGTCGGGAGTTCGAGACCAACCTGACCAACATGGAGAAACCCTGTCTTTACTAAAAATACAAAATTAGCCAGGCATGGTGGCACATGCCTGTGATCCCAGCTACTCTGGAGGCTGAGGCAGGAAAATCACTTGAACCCAGGAGACAGAGGTTGCGGTGAACTGAGATCGCGCCATTGCACTCCAGCCTGGGCAACAAGAGCGAAACTCCGTCTCAAAAAAAAAAAAAAAAAAAAAAGAGCAAGGATTTCCTGTGGCCTGAGAAAGAAAACAGGAAACAACTGAAAGCTGGCCAAACAGCAATGGGAGAGACTTGGTGCTGAGGAGGGAAGTGGAGCCGGGGAAGGAGGAGAGAATGAGAGGTGGAAATGGCTGTGGAAGGTCCTAAGCCCAACGGAGAGCCCAGCAGTGATGTTTAGGAGCCTCTTGGTGATCTCAGGCTGTCCAGTGCACCCCATCCCCAGCAGCACACCAGATGCTTTGTTCCTGGACCAAACTGAGGGTCCTCGGGCTGCTTACTTTCACAACCCAATAACGAGATGCAGATGAGCTGGGAAAGGAGAGAGTTTATTTCTGGAGCCGGGTACAGGGAGAAGGCCTGGAAAACATCGCCAGACCAACTCAAAATTACAAAGTTTTCCAGAGCTTATATACTTTCTAAGCTGTATGTCTGTGTGTAAGTGTGCATTCATCTGAAGACATAAGTGATTAACTTCTTCCAATCTGTAACTAAGATCTGATTCCTGAAGACCTTCCTCTGGAGCCTCAGTAAATTTACTTAATCTAAATGGGTCCGGGTGCTGGGGGTGATTACCCTTGTCTCCTGCTAAATCATGGAGGTTTGGGGAGTTCCTTCAGACCCCCAATACACCTGTTTAATCCTAAATAGGTCCTGTTAAGAATTCCT
This sequence comes from Homo sapiens, assembly GCF_000001405.40. Classification (NCBI taxonomy): domain Eukaryota; kingdom Metazoa; phylum Chordata; class Mammalia; order Primates; family Hominidae; genus Homo; species Homo sapiens. The sequence goes on from NC_000015.10 coordinate 91,963,171, forward strand.
TTGTTATCTTGTCGTGCTTCGAGGCCCGGGAAAGTCCTAGGCAAGATGCTTGGTGGGCTTTTGTTGCATTCCAGCCTTTGTATATGGGCACTGGCTCTTTCAGCTTTCAGCTTTTAATATTTAACTTCACCAGTCAGTCAGTGCTGAGACAGTTATTATGGAGGCTACCCTGTTCAGCTGTTAGGGAGACCAGGCCTGCCACAGTTTCTCTCTCGTGAGGGTTTAACTCGGGGAGGGTGGGGGGGGGGGGCGGCAGCAGCCTGGGGCTGATTAACTCCTGAATGTTGTGCTAATGAGAAAGTGGTGTGGGTAGTGAGAACCAATGCCCCAAATAACATTTCATCTGATTGGATCACACCGTGGGATTTTATTGCAGTAGATATTAATTGTATTCTGTCCAGAACTGGTTCCTTCTGGTGGGTTCTTGGTTTTGCTGACTTCAAGAATGAAGCCGTGGACCTTCGCGGTGAGTGTTACAGTTCTTAAAGATGATGCGTCTGGAGTTGTTCCTTCCGAGGTTCAGATGTGTCAGGAGTTTCTTCCTTTTGGTGGGTTCGTGGTCTCGCTGACTTCAGGAGTCATGCCACAGACCTTCGCAGTGAGTATTACAGATCATAAAGGTAGTGCAGAACCAGACTGAGCAGCAGCAAGATTTATTGTGAAGAGCGAAAGAACAAAGCTTCCACGGCGTGGAAGGGGACCCAAGCAGGTTGCCGCTGCTATTTCGGGTGGCCAGCTTTTATTCCCTTATTTGGCCCCGCCCACATCCTGCTGATTGGTCCATTTTACAGAGTGCTGATTGGTCCATTTTACAAAGTGCTGATTGGTGTGTTCACCATCTTTTAACTAGACCCAGAGCACTGATTGGTGCATTTACAGTCCTTTAGCTAGACACAAAAGTTCTCCAAGTCCCCACCTGACCCAGAAGCTCAGCTGGCTTCACCTCTCAGTATGGGTGGGGAACCTACTTGTTTTCAGTTTATGAAAGTAGGTTTTCAGGAAAAGCAAACCTGTGGTAGAAACTTGTTGGAAATGTAATGGAACCTGGAATGTTCCATTAATCACAAGACTTCTGTGTGATTGCTCAGAGCTCTAAAAGTAGATACAACGGCCTTGTCATCTGTAATTTTTTTTTGTTTTTGGTCATTTTTAGGTGAAATATTTGATAGTGCTTTATACTTTCTACCCTTTTTAGGGCATGGTAAATGTATTTGTTCGACTGACAGCTACTGCAAGAAGCAAACCCTCACATGCATCATTGCTTTTTTTTTTTATGCTCAGGTGACTCCAGAACAGGTTTTACTAATATGTGGGCAGCTCTGTGTAGTAGCTCTTGCCATGTTAGTGTTGCTATATTTAGTTCCTCCTATTCAAGGTTGCTATGCTTGTCGGCATCAAGCAGGAGGAGAAAAGACCCTGGTGGAAGGGGCATGGGAAGTCTTGTGGACCAGGCCGGAAGTGGCACCTCATTGGCCACAGCTCCGTCCCATCTCTGGTAGAGAAAGAGAGTTGAGCAGTGTGTTGGGAAGAAGCAGAAGCAAGCTGGGTACTAACATCCTTTAAAATTAGATAGTTTTTTTTTTTTTAATGTACTTCGAGTATGTTCTAGAAAGCTATTTCCTTGGATACCTCCCTTTTGCGATGAAGAAGTGGCAGCTCACAGAATTGAGTGACTTGCTCAGGGTCACAGAGCGTCAGGTGACAGTGTGTGGTCTGGAATCCAGGCCTTATCCATTACCTTGTCCCGTACTTTGTCTTTCCACGAGTTTTTGAGTGTGGCCAGCAGTCCTACCTCTAGACTTTTCTGCGTGTGCCATGCCAGCTTTTGGGAGGATTACAGTCATCACCACCATCTGAAGAGGTACTGGGGACCTCAGCTCCCCCATGACAGCAAACATACCCAGGGAGAGGGGGCTGTGGGGATACTCAGTGGATGATTAGGGTTTTTAGAATCTGTTGGGAAGGGGAAGAGGTATACATTAAAATTGAGTGCCCTAGAGAACAGGAGAATTGGAGAGAAGACACATGATTAAAGAGAAACGCATATGCAGACCCCTCTCCCACCACCAGCATCCCAGTGCTTGGGAAACCCAAAGCCAAGCCCTGGCTCCTCAGGGATCCCCAAAGGAAACATTTATCCCCCTGGATGTTTGGATGTCCCGTAATGATTTAGAGGCCTGAGATCCTGCTCAAATCCCTGGATTCTATGTGGTATTGAAGAAGGACTTTTAAAACTAGACCTGACAGGTCCAAATAAATATCCTCCATTGTGAGGAACAATCTCATTTGGGCCTCTGAGGCTCTCTAAAAATATCCTTCATTGACTGTTCACTTTAGAATCCAGGATTGAGACTCCCACCCCACCCCCTAACTTCCCTTCCCTTTTGTTTTTCTATGTTGCCTGCTCATCCTTCCTCCTCTCACCAGCCTGGCCTTGCCTAGGGAGTGGGAGTTGGCAGGGCTTGCCTACCAGGAGGGTTTTGTTGAGAGGCACCAAGTCCAAAGGAATCTTTTGTCTACAGGTGCACTTGAATTGTGGGCAGCCAGCAGGGTGTGTGTGTGTGTGTGTGTGTGTGTGTGTGTGGAGGGAAATTCGTAGGAGTGAGTGTGGGTGTGCACACCTGCTCTAAATTGCTTCTACTGCCAGAATGTACTCCTGGAGGGATCAGGAAGGAGTAAGCCCTTAGTCGATTGAGCCAGTCCAGCCCTGAGGACATTGATTCCAGCTCCTTGCTTTCATTGAAGGGAGGAGAGAAACTCAAATAGGAGCCCTCAAGGAGATTGTGTGAAGCTTTCTGAATTCGGTGTCATTTTCATGCAATTTTGTTAAGAACTGGTGTATTTCATCCCCTCCTGGTTCATTCCGTGAGTCATCCAGAAGGCATCAGAGCCTCGTCATTTTGGCAGCCGCAGGGCATTTGTGCCCAGCGAATTATGGGCAGCTCTGATCTGAAGTAACAAGGTTGAGTCGAGATAGGTTGAGAAATGACCCAGACAGAAACAGGGGCCTCGGCTGGCAGCCCCAGCCACACCATAACTGCACCCGTAGCTCAGATGAGGTCAGGACATTTTTGCTTTGTGACAGATTTGGGACGCAGAGAAAAGAGTTCAGGCTTTGTACTGACCGAGGCCAGCACTGACACCAGTGCAGACAAAGAGGTTTGTAGCCAGGGGAGTGGAGGGACGGACAGCTCAGATTTTAGCTGACGATGATTCTCATGGCCTGTGTACAAGTTCCCACTAATGTATCATCAGTACCAGCATCTCTGAGGAAGATGTTTTTCCCACTGTGCACAATGCAACATCACTGTCCCCAGGGTACATGGGACAGAAAAATCCCTGTTAGAACTGGGCACAAAACTGCGCTTCTGAACATTTCAGGATATGATCCTTTCAGGATACTGTGTCTAGCACCCAAATTTTGAGGACTCAAGTTTTCATTAAAGCAACAGGCAGTGATGATGATGTGCTTTCCAAATGCAAATTGTAGGAACATTTAATTAAATGGGACCCTTAGGAGCAGTAACCATTCTCAGATCCCAGTTAACCTGGTGTATTAGAATGTCTCAGCAGTGGAAGGAATTCATGCCTGGGCTTTGGTGATGCTTCTCAAACAGAGCATCTGGCACTGTTCGTGGAAAAAGGTGATTTCAACTTGAAGCAGAAAGATAAGGTGGCGCTTTGTAGAATGTAAAAAAGTCTAACCCTAGCTTCTGCAGAGAGCTGGGCTGCTGCACCAATTATGTTGTGTGGCATTTTACTTCCAAAGGGCAGCTTTGGTCATGGAGGAGAAGACAAAAGCGTGGTGCAGTTTTTTGGGGATTTTTTTTTTTGACAGCAAGAGAGATGAGATACAATTTGTATTTTTGAACTCTGCTTTCAGATAACTTTATAAAGGGCTTTAAAACTGTCTTTGTAAATGATCCAGAAGAGTTAGGCTCTAAAGAAGTTTTGAAATACCTCATTCTATTTGTGCTGCTTTTTATCCTTTCTAAAAAAACAAAAAGATTATTAGATGGTAGGAAACTATGTCTAAATAAACCCAGTGAGTTGTTACATTTTTATTCATTTAAAATATTAAAATGACAATAAGAGAGGTTTTTAGTTATCAGAGCATGTTGCAGAGGTATAAGAGGAAGCAGAGAGTACTGTTTTCTAGATTAACTGCTCTACACAGAAATGAACAGCAGTATAGATTAACCCATAAGAGTCCAAATAACTCCCCCTGCTTGAAGCTTTATATGGTGATCTGTGGTAGAATGTCCCTCCTCTGGTTATGCTTTTCTTTGGCTAATAGTATCATTTGTCTCCCCACCTCTCCTGTAGGACTGAGGTGCCGTTGTGGGGACATAACGCAGAAGCGTTGCCACAGGATAAAGACAGCACTCGACATATAATAAAAATCAATATGGATAAGACACCTATTACACAGATAATCCCATATGAAATAAATTAAACCCGTTTTACAGATGGATTAATTGTTTTGTCCTTGTTCTGTTGACTTCCAGACCTTGTTATCTCTCCTGTTTTCCTGGATCATATTGTCTCTCAAATATCAATAGCACAGTTTTTGGCTGTGTTGTTTTCAAACAGCCTACTTTTGGGGAACCACGAGGACGTAGTGGCAGGACTAAAGGTCAAGGTCACTTCAGTGTTCTCCCAAATCCCGCTGGCATAGGCTCTTTCCTTGTCTGCTTTGTCTGCAGGATTCAGCACCAAGAGCTCTCAAGAGCAAATCCACAGGCAGCTAAATCAAGAAGGTGGCTCTCTTCCCTCCTCTTTGCTCCCCTCTTCCTGCAGAGATGCAAGATGGCTTTGAAATGTCCCTATCTTCCTTCCCTTCTGATTGCCTTACTTGTTCAGATGCTTCCATCCTGAACATTTTCTAGAGTCCCCTGCCTAGTCGCCCTGGAAAGTACCCAGGGAAGCCACTTACGGCCTATCCATCAAAGCACAGTGCGTGTCTCCTTTCTCAGACAGAGGACGTAATCATCCATGCCCACAGAGGAGAGCGTGTGCCCTGAGTTTCAGTGCCGGATCAGAGACTGGAAAAGTCTGTATGCCCCCTCCCTACCTTACAGTCTTTTACTTCTCCACCTGGGGAAAACAGCAGATGGAGGAGAGGAAAGAGAAGTTTAGCTGGCATCATTAAAATGACTTTCTAGTCTCCTGCGAGCTTTCTCTCAAGTAGATTCTGCTGAGTTCTGCTTGGACTGGTAAGCACAGAGAGTGAGTCATAGAGTGGCCCTCTAGAATCCTCCAGCCTGTGCTTATTATGCAGCATGGAGGTGTCCTGGCTAGAACAGGGCCTCTAATTTATCATGTCTTCTCACTAGGTGAGGTGAATAGGGCTCCACAAACCACCGTGGGGACCAGTGGCATCAAATTCTGGTGCTAACAAAGGAAGTTCCATCACAGACAAGGAGTGAGAAGAAGCCAGGGTAGAAACAAGCGACCCCTGCTTCCATGTGAAGCTTCATTCCCCAACCCATTCTTCAGACAGAGAAAGGGTGCACACGCAGACCCGCAAGCACAGCCTTCGCACGTGTGCTCACACAGCCGCAGTATTTACGGCACTCACGACGTGTCCAGCTTCTTTGTGCGCTCACAGCAGGCACTGCACTGTCCGTGGTTACCCTTAGGGTGGCGCTGTTTATTGGCGCCTTTTTGCTTGGCACATTCTGGTTCCTCTGCATGGAGTCTCCTTTCTCTTTCCCCTACCCAGGGGATCTGGCAAACTCGTGTTGCTCCATGTAGAGTCAGCTCAGAGGTCCCTTCCTCTCAGAAGCCATCTCTGCCTCCACCTACCTCCAACACAAGAGTTTGCTAACAGGTCCACACTGTGTTTAGCACTGTCACCTTGCATCATTTTTTGGTGTGATTGTATCTGTTGCACATACACCTGTGTCCCCGCTACACACTTTGAGAGGTAAAGCTCATCTTTTCGTTGTATACAGCACATGTACAGAAATATGTGCCTGGCACATAAAGGCAATTAGTAGATATTTGTCGAATGAATGAGTGAATAAATCATTTTTTGGGGTAGAAGTGGTGTAGAATATCTGACTACTACATGTGGATACTAAGAACTAATTGTTGTTGTGGAGTAAAATTTCTTGTGTTTGTCTGTATATATATAATTTTTTTTTTTTTGAGATGAATTCTCACTCTGTTGCCCAGGCTGGATTGCAGTGGCACAATCTTGGCTCACTGCAACCTCCACCTCCTAGGTTCAAGTGATTCTCCTGCCTCAGTCTCCCAAATAGCTTGGGTTACAGGTACGTGCCACCATGCCTGGCTAATTTTTGTATTTTTAGTAAAGTAGGGGGTTTCTCCATGTTGGCCAGGCTGGTCTCAAACTCCTCACCTCAGGTGGTCCACCCACCTTGGCCTCCCAAAGTGCTGGGATTACAGACATGAGCCACAGTGCCTGGCCTCTTGTTACAATTATTGTTGTCTTTCTATCAAAAACATTACCAAAATCTCCTTTTACTTCATAACACTCATAAGACTCCATCTATAGAATTCCTTTTCTGGTAGAAGTGCTCCCTTGTTGGGCCTGGCATCTTATGGGCTCACCCTTATATTCTCCCAAGAGAAGTCCCCATTTTTCAGTGGAAGAGATCTAGCTATGTCTATGGTTTCCTGGTGGCGGGGGCTGGTCCACAGACCTAGAATGAGTTGCTGGGGAATTGGGTAGGGTGAGCCCTTTGCATTGCTGGGTAGAAGAAAATTTGACCTGGGCGCAGTCATCAGTTTGGACTCTAACTTCCTAGCTAGTTCTGTGTGTGTCAAAATCCTCCAGCATAACATTTGCCATGATGAGCAAGGAAGTGTAGTGTTTTTTCCCCTCAGCGAAATGTTAAAAGGCAAAAAGGCTATTTCTGCTCACCCAGAAAAACATTTTGGCTCTAGCAGAAAACAAAACAAAAAAAACTTACAGCCTTAAAACTAAAAAGAGGCATTGAAATACAGTACCTTCTCCCCACGCTGTTCAAAACACTTCGTGAGCAAGCACATGTAGCACATGTAGGAGAGAGGCCGAGTATGTTCTGAACTAATATTTTAGTGTATTATTTAAAATCTGGCCAGAGCACAGCATATTTGCATGCCTGTCTTTGGGCTCTGTTTCTAAAACAAGGAGAGTGGTGATGAAATCCGCAGCTGGTGTGCTGGCCCCAAGCCTGGGCAGTTTGGGCTCCATCACACCCTGGAGCAGCCAGCAAAGTTGCTGGAGCCGCTGATGGGAGGTGCCTTTGGGGTGGGCAGAGTTGTGGAGTCCTCTCCTTTCTCTGTAGTCAACACACGAGAGTCAACATGGAACTTGAGGTCTGTGAGCGTTTGCTGAGCCTGTGACCAGGAGGTGCTCCTGGAGAATGAAAGCGGGTAGGTAGGAGACAAGTGGTATCCAGCTCCCAGGGACTCACAAGGAGCCCTAATGAAACAACATGGTTCTTTCTTAAGTGGACCCATTTCTCCCATTACTCCTTCAAACCTCTGGGTTTCCCCTGACCAAAAAACAGGCATCCAGGGTGTATCCTGCCACTGTGCAGTGCCCTGCTTTGGTTAGACAGTGCCCATGTGAACATGAAGTTTTCCTTCTGACAGGCGGCAGTCTTCTCAGGCTAGAAGAGTAGACAGAGCTTCCACCTGTGTACAAGGGGCGTCTGCCGTCCTCATGCTACTAATGCCCAACCAGATGAAGGGTGTGTGTGTTTGTGTGTGTGTGTGTGCATGTGTGCAAATCCTTAAATAGGTATAGGCATATGTAGTCAGTCTTCATTATTTGTGGTTTCTGTATTTGGGAATTTGCCTATTTGCTAAAATGTATTTGTAGCCCCCAAATCAATACTCACGGCACCTTTGAAGACATGTGCAGGGTGGGGAAACATTTGAGTTGCCTGAAGTGCCTGTTCCCAGCTGAGGTCAAACAAGGTGACCTTGGCCGGGCGCGGTGGCTCACACCTGTAATCTTAGCACTTCGGGAGGCCGAGGCGGGCGGATCATGGGATCAGGAGATCGAAACCATCCTGGCTAACACAGTGAAACTCCATCTCTACTAAAAATACAAAAAATTAGCCGAGCATGGTGGCAGGTGCCTGTAGTCCCAGCTACTCGGGAGGCTGAGGCAGGACAATGGGGTGAACCCGGGAGGCGGAGCTTGCAGTGAGCCGAGGTCGTGCCACTGCACTCCAGCCTGGGTGACAGAGCGAGACTCCATCTCAAAAAAAAAAAAAAAAGCAACCTCTTCCTTCTTGTTTCAGCTCTCATGCTGTAAACAAGTATCCTTTTTGTTGTCTATTTGATGTCATATTCTTCCATGTTTTTGTGCTTTTGTTGATGATTTTACTGTTTGAAAAGGCCCCAAGCACAGTGCTGAAGAGCTGTCTAGTGTTCCTAAGCACAGGACACCTGTGATTTGCCTTACAGAGAAAATATGTGTGTTAAAGAAGCTTCATGCAGGCATGAGTTACAGCATTGTTTGCCATGAGCTCCATGTTAATGAATCAAAGATATACATTAAATAAGGTTTGTTTAAACAGAAACACACTTAACACAAGGTTATGTGGTGATGAGTTGATGAAAATGTTGTGAACAGAGGCTCGCAGGAACCTAACCCTGTATTTCCCCTAGCAGCAGTGGCTCCGTATTCAGCAGTGGCTCCGTATTCAACAGTTCAGTGTTTGTGGAGACTTTCTAGAACATAACTGCAGTTTGAGTATCCCTGATCAGAAATGCTTGGGACCAGAAGTGTTTTGGATCTTGGATTTTTTTTTATGAGTTTGGAATATTTGCATTATATTCCTTACCAATGAGCATTTCCTTTGAGCGTCATGTTGGCGCTCAAAAAACTAAGGATTTTGGAGCATTTCAGATTTTGGATTTTTGGATGAGGGATGCTCAACCTATATCTTGGATAATGAGAATTGACTATATAAAGGGGTGAGGGAGAGGGTTTTATGTAGAGCTCTATACCTATGATACCATATTGGAAAACGTCTACCATATTTGAAGTCGTATGGAGAAGTCTCCATTAAGAGATTATACCTTCAGACAGGTGGCTGCGCTGGGTTGGGAGGTGGATATGGGAGATGAGGGTGCTGACATGAACCAAGGTGGTATGGTCTGAATGTTTGTGTGAATCCTAACCCAAGGTGGGTTAGATTTCAACAGAACTCGAATAGGTCATGATGGAGGAGCCCCCATGATGGGGTTAGTACCCTTATAAAAGAGGCCCCAGAGAGGTGCCTCGCCCTCTCCATGACGTGAGGGTACACCTAGGACATGCCATCTGTGAACCAGAAAGTGGCCTTCCAACAGACACCAAATCTTCTGGTGGCGCCTTCTTTTGGACTTCTAGACTCCAGAACTGTGAGAAGTAAATTTCTGTTGTTTATAAGCCACCCAGGCTGTTGTATTGTTACAGGACCTCAAACAGACTGAGGCTCAAGGCACCAGGGAAACGTGCTGACCGATCGATCTTCAGTACGGTGGATTTATTAGAAAGGGTGCTGCAGTGATGAGCCCTTGTCCTCCAGGTCAGGACAGAGGCCCAGGGAATGCCCTTGCGTGGCCTCTGGTGTGGTTCCTGGTGCTGCCTCGGTCCTCCAGGTTTGACTGTGGATGAACTGCCCCTCTGTCCACACATACATAGAAAAGGACAGTGGGGCCGGGCATGGTGGCTCATGCCTGTAATCCCAGCACTTTGGGAGGCCGAGGCAGGCGGATCACCTGAGGTCAGGGGTTCGAGACCATCCTGGCCAATATAGTGAAGCCCCGTCTCTACTAAATATACAAAAATCAGCTAAGCATGGTGGCATGCACTTGTAGTCCCAGCTACTAGGGAGGCAGGAGAATCGCTTGAACCCGGGAGGCAGAGGTTGCAGTGAGCCGAGATCACGCCATTGCACTCCAGTCTGGCAACAGAGCAAGACTCCGTCTCAAAAAGAAAAGAAAAGGGCAACGGGCAGTGCCCTGGGGCAGGGGAACTGAGGCAAAAGGGTGGGGATTGCAACCCCTCTGCTCTCTCATTTCCCAGAGAAGAAGTGGTCTTGGATATCCAAGGAACGAATGAATTCTCAGGTGCCTGCTCCTCCCAGGCACTTCACACTGGATGTCTTTGAACTTGACGGCAGCCCTCTGAGATACCATTATCTCCATTCTGCTGATGAAGAGCAGGCACAGCGAGGTTACCTGCATTGTCAGAGGACACACAGCTAGTAAGGGGTGGAATTTAAATTCAAACCTGTGACAAGTCAAGATACAATTATCTTTAGTTGGTGGCTGACTGGAAAAACAGATGCAACAGCAGGAAGAAGGGGGGCTGAAGCTGGTGTATTGTCTGAGTGTCTAAAATCATGGTGCGTTTGAAGGGAATGAAGTTGAGTGAGCGATTGCAGGATTCGAGGGCGAGTTAGGGCAGAGCTTCTCAACCTGGGTGCTTTTGCACCTCATGACGTTTGGCAGTGTCTGGATTCATTTTTGGTTGCTGTCATAACAGGGTTGGAACACAGGGGAAGTGCTACTGGCATCTAGTGGGGAGAGGCTGCGGATGCTGTCAAGCCTCCATCGGTGCACAGGACCGGCATCCACAACAAAGAATTATCCAACCCCAAATGTCAATAATGCCAAGCCTGAGAATACCTGATTAAGGGGAAAGCAGGCTCTCGAAGTGGTTTGAGTTGGGAGCATGTTATGGGCTGAAAAGTTACAAACTATATCCAGAAACTTCTATAAAGGTATTTCCTTCTGATGTGCCATCATTCCTGGCTCAAAATTCACTTTTCTTTCTACATTTTCTATATTCAGTAAGATATGACCTGTCTGTGAGCCAGGCCTATTGGTACCTGTTCTGTGGTGAGCAGGCACCAGTAGGTGACAAGGCAGGCAAGAGAGAGTGTCCCTGGACCTAAGAAACCAGGCTGTGGACCCAAAGCCATCTGGAAAAGACTCACGGGATGTGGGACATCACTCAAGGCTCAAGGTCAGCCTGGGGTCCAACAGTAAGGATAAGAACCAGGACAGCAGGTTCCAGAAAGCCAGGTCCCTTCATAGGAGGTCAGCCTGACCTAAACGGACACCATTTTCATTATTGTTATTATTATTATTATTATTATTATTATTATTATTTCTCTAAGCCTTCTTAGCATTTGCAGTGTATCCTGGGGGAACTTGCAGTTTTCAGAGACAGACTCATGAATAAAAATGAGTTGTGTAAATTCCTGTATTGAGAGTATTTGCCAAGTGCTGCAGGGCTCCAGAGGAGGCAACGGGCACCTTGGCCTGGAGAAACAGAGGAGGGTGAAGGTTTCTGGGTGAGTCACTGCTGGAAACTAGAAGGTGAAGGGAGAGTCCAGGCAGAGGGAAGAGCGTGGTGGGAGGTAAAAGGTGCCAGCGGGCAGAGCCAGGCAGGGTAGGCGTGTGCTGTGGGCAGGGCAGGGAGGCGGGAGGTGGGGTGAGGGGAAGACCACAGGGAACTCCCCAGGGAGCAGAGAATTGGGTGCCTCCTGCAAGTGTCCACTGTGGCTTCTAGGGAAAATCTCTCCGAAAGAGGAAAGATGTGCTGTGCTGGCAGGAAGGCGGAGACATTCATTTCCAGTCCCTCTGTGATAGGGTAGGGGTGACCCTGTCTTCAAGAGGTGTGATGAAGCCAGTGTCCCCATTTAGCATCAAAATAGACAAGACAGTTCCTTCATTAAGAAAGCAAATCTTGCTGGCACTAGATACCCTTTACAGAGGGCCAGGCTCTGGGAGCCTCCCTGTCTGGGTTCCCATCCCAGCTTCTGGGGTTCCTCTGTGTGCAGTCTGGGGTAGTTAACTTAATTTCTCTGTACTGCAGTTCCTATCTGTAAAATGAGTAGAATAAGTGTTCCTGCATCATAGGTGTTTTATGAGATTAAATGATTTAGTGCAAATAAAGTGCCTGGAATGGTGCCTAGAATATAGTAAATTCTCAGAGTTAACCAGTGTTATTCTCTTTTTACCATTTAGGGAAGGCAGAGGAAAGGGCTTTAAGAGTGTCATGTTCTAGAGCTGAACTTGTGAACTGGTACCTAGGTGTGCTGCAATTGGCTGACAGGTGCGCATTTTAAAAAATTGAATTTGAATCCTTTGCCTGGAGCTGGCATGATCCATGATTCATCATAGTCCATCCTCCACCCCACCCCCTTGTCCCAAGCCTGTCCAGCAACACACATGCAGTGTCCCCTGCAGTTGGCTCCCTAAACATGAGAGCAGAGGACACTGGCGATTGCATTAAGCGGACAGAAGTTACAGGAGGAACCATTGGCAGGATTAGCCACAGACTGAGTCAGCTGTCATGCCACACACTTGGTGAGAGCCCTGCTTATGAAGCAGCTGTGTATTTCAAATGTTGGGTTCAGCCTAGGAGCTTGTTGATGATCACTTTCTGTGGCAGCAGGTTCTAGGGCCAGGGGGGCACCCTGCCAGCTTCTGTCTCCAGCAGACAAGCTGCATCCAGGTACAACCTTCCTCTCAGCCTGTCAGACGTGCGTCTGCACTGCTAGCACAGCCTCCTCCTTCCTACGCCTCCACCTGACCTGTTCCTATAACTATGAGATTGCCCCTTACAGCCACCCAGTGGTGGACGCTCCAAGGCAGGCAAGAGGAGCAGCCTACTTTCCCTAGCACACACCAGCCTGAAGAGCTGTGCTAGTGGTGGAGTGAGGAAAGAACCCTGGCCCCAGAGGTAAAAGACCTCACTGAAGTGTGACCTTGGTCAGATCACTGAGCCCTGCAGTCCTCTTTGTTGTCTATAACCCCTGGGGTACTGTATTGCTTGCAGCACCTCACTTGATTATTGGGTTGTTAGAGAGAGGCAGTGTGTGTAGAGGTGCCTTATTATTATTATTTTTAATGTTAGATACTCTGCAAATGATGGACATTCAAAATAATTAGCAATGCTGCATTATTTCTTGAAGTGTGGCCAACCATCCACAGCCTGGGCTAGAAAGCAGAAATGGGGATGTTGATTGTGATGAGGGTCCCAAACTGTACTGGGGAGAAGATAGATGGAAGCAAAGAAACTCTATACACAGAGAATTTCAAAGAGTTAGTACCAAAAAAAGACTGTAAAATATCTTAATAACTTTTGTATTGACCATGCATTGAAATGACACTTCAGATATTTTGGATTAAATATTAAATATTATTAAAATTAATTTTGCATGTTTCTACTTTTAAATGTAGCTACTTTATTTTTTTTAACATAGTAGAAAATGTACAGCGTATTTTACTTTAGACCAGCTACATTGCAAGTGCTCACTAGTCACATGTGGCTGTCATTGGACAACACAGCTGTAGCCATGTACCAATTGCATTCTGTACGTGCCATTGGGCTTCGAGACTTTTTCCTCCTTCTCCTTGGAGTAGCCTCAACTCTATCGGGGAATCCACGTTGGGCACCAGATATCGGGGAATCTGCCCCGATATTCACGTAGGTTCTTTTCTATTTTCCTTAAGTGCCGGCCAGCTTGAGAAATAAAGGGACAGAGTACAAAAGAGAGAAATTTTAAAGTTGGGCGTCCGGGGGAGACATCACATGTTGGTAGGTTCCGTGATGCCCCACAAGCCGCAAAAACCAGCAAGTTTTTATTAGGGAGTTTCAAAAGGGGAGGGAGTGTGCAAATAGGTGTGGGTCACAGACATCAAGTACTTTACAAGGTAATAGAATATCACAAGGCAAAGGGAGGCAGGGCGAGATCACAGGACCACAGGACCGGGGCGAAATTAAAATTGCTACTGAAGTTTCAGGCACCACTGTCATTGAGAACATCTTATCAGGAGACAGGGTTTTGAGATCAACCAGTCTGACCAAAATTTATTAGGTGGGAATTTCCTCTTCCTGATAATCCTGACAGTGTTCTGGAACTAGATAGGGGTGATAGTTGTGAAACACTGTGAAAGTACCACAGTGTCACTAGTGGTAAATTTTTGCTACATGTCATGAATGATTGGATGGATGGATACATGGATTGTGCAAAAACGTACTGCCTGAGGTTTTGTCAGTGCAATGAGACCAGCAATCAATTCCTCATTGCCACCTGGGGGGTGACATGCACTGGTCTTCCCTACATTATGATGACCCAAGAGCTTCAGCCTCATGTTGCTGACCCTCCTTTCTGTATCCTCATGGCTCATTGAGAGAAGCGAAGGAGCTGTCTGAGGATGTTGTGATACGTTCCAAGTTGTCGGTAACACACTTAGAGGTGATATCTCCTGGCAGCTGCAGAGAAAGCCAGTTCAGTCAGTTTGGGGTTATTAGGGAGGAAGGGGAAAAATGGTGAGAATGTGCTCTAGGAAAGTGGGGTTCTCAGACATGGAAAACCAAATATGTCATGTTCTCACTTCTAAGTAGGAGCTAAGCTATGAGGACATAAAGGCATAGAGTGATATAACGAACTTTGGCAACTGGAGTGTGGGGACATTGGGAGGTGGGTGAGGGATAAAGGACTACATATTGGGTAGAATGTACACTGCTTGGGTGATGGGTGCACTAAAATCTCAGACACCACCACTAAAGAGCTAATCCAAAAAACACCTGTACCCCAAAAACTATCAAAAGTTTTTATTTTGGACAATAGCGTCCTAAGATACCTCGACAAAGAAAAATCAGAGAAGGTCTTTTGCAAGCAAACCTTATTAGAAATACTTTTTAATGGTTGAGATTAAAAACATATTTCCTAAATGATCCTCCCAGGAAACTCTGAAGTTCTTGAGGACAAAGACCTTGGCTATCTTGCTAATGTTGTCTCCCTGAACCTTGCATGGGTCCAGGCACTGAGTAGGCACTCAGTAAACACAGAGTATTGACTCAGATCCTGAATATTGAAATAATTGATTATTGAATCAGATAATTTTCCAAACAAAATGAATACCACCCTGTGCTTCTTGTTTGTTTTCTCCCATCACCCATTTCTGGGGAGTTTTTCAGGTTTCGCAGGTAGACCTAGGACTAGGAACATTGCTAAAGGTCATTGACCAAAGACAGAACTTCAGTCAGTTACTGGAGGTCTTTTCCCCCCTGTAAATGATAGGCCATCCTGCGGTACCCTCCCTTCTCACTGCTGTTTAGGAAAATGGATTATTTCTGATTCAGACATTTCCAGTCCTTTAATTCTTTCTTTCTCAGTGAACTAAGCTCTTTTACTCTTCAGTGAAAATGGCACTGTGCACAAGTGTCTGGCATCCACGCAAGGAAAAAGCTTTCTGTGAACATGTGGCCTTTTAGATTGAAGGCAGTGATCTTTAGAGTTCTTAATTACCCAAGCCACCAACTCATCTAAGCCCTGGTCCATACTGCAAAGAGGAGGGAAGGATTTGGATGTCAGTTTAAGCCTTGGCGTCTGTTCTGTATTCAGGGCTCATAGTACAAATGTGTTACTTTTTTCCCCCCTCAGTGGAATGTATTTTTCTTACTTTTCCCTCTCTAAAACATGCATGTGCCTTAGAATTTTCCCATTGGAGTTTATTTATTAACCCAGGTTTACCTTTTTATTATATGTTAATGATTTTACTAAGTAGATAGATTAAACTAAACTTATAAATTATTAATGGATTCATATATGAATACTACTGTTAGGAACAGGAGTCTCACAAAGGTTCAAACTTTCCACGTATCAGTATCATCTAGTTCAAGGGTCAGCGAACTATGGCCCACGGGCCAAATCCTATTGACCATATCTGGCCCTTTACAGAAAAAGTTTGCCAACCTCTGGTCTAGTTCAACACTTAGCATAAGCTACTGCTCATACCTACCCTATTTTGGCCTGTGTTCTGGCACTGATTGATTACTAAAATTGGTTTGCCATTCTCAATTCTCTTCACTTGTACTAACTATCATTTATGACTTCAGACCTGCTAGTTAACTTCTCTGAGATACAGGTACCTCATTTGCAAAAAGGGGACATAATGCAGTTTTCATCATTAAGCATCAAGCGAGTTTACATATACGGGTTTAGTACCCCTTAGCCCCAAAAAGCTTGGGACCAGAAGTGTTTCTAATTTTTTTTTTTAATTTTGGAATATGTGCATGTGCATGATGAGATATTTGGGGGATAGGACCCAAGCCTCAACATGAAGTTCTTTTGTTTCATATACACCTTATGCACATAGCTTGAAGGTAATTTGATACAATAGTCTAACTAATTTTGTGCATGGAACAAAGTGCTGACTGCAGTTTGACTGCAACTCATCACGTGAGGTGAAGTGTGGAATTCTCCACTTGGCAGTACTCAAAAAGTTTCAGATTTTGGAGCATTTTGGATTTCAGACTGGGGATGCTCAACCTGTATAAATAACCTTAGCGTGTTGTCTGGCAGTTAGCAGAACCTTTCTTCTTTCTACCTCTTCCCTAAAGGGTATGACCATTTATCCACGGAAAAAAAAATTGAATGGCACTGCCGTGTAGAAGTAAATTTGCTGTCACTTATCCTGGGTTTAAATCACTGTTCTGCCACTTACTAGCTATGTGACCTTGAGCAAGAGGCTTTATCTCATTAAACCTCCTCTAAAACCAGAGATAATAATAGTATCTATGTCCTAAGTACAACTGTGACTCTTCGGTATACAATGCATGTCAAGTGCTTAGCGTAATGCCTTGCACCCAGTATATACTAATTAAATGGTAGCATCTATTATTGTCATCAGTGTTATTAGTAATTTCTTAGGGTGTACAAACTATTGGTGAGGATCATGGCATTCATCAGCTCTACCCACATTTGCCAACATCAACTCTCCTAGTCAGCCAAAACTTTTGCCACTGAGCTTCACTTAAGCAAGCAAAGAAAACATGTTTTCCTGGGGAAAATGAATCTAGAGCTTCACCATCCGCATTTGGTGCATTAGAAATATTCCAAAAGGAAAAGCAACAGAGAGGCTGGATTTGCACATTTCTTTCAAACTGCTGCCTGATTCCCTTCACTCTTCCTGACTGCATTGTTAACAAGTCCTCTCGGCCTCAGCTGTCCCTGTGTGACTACAGTAGTGCCACTCACATTTCTCAGGGGTTGGTGTGGGGAGAGGCCTCGCTGCCCCGGTGGAGCTGCCCAAGGGACATACATTCATTGGTTTGCTTCTTTATTCATTCGCTTCAAATTTATTTTACTGTGCTGGGTGTAGAGGTAACACAGGATATTAATACCTAGCCTTTTCGTTAAGGGGCTCACCATCTTGGACCCCAGTTTTGAAGATACTGGAGAGGCAAGAGTTTGGGGGCTGGGAAATCTGAGAGTTTAAAAAAAAAAAATCCAAGCAAAGATGGTGAATGGATTCGTAGGGTGATAGAGGGGAGAAGGGGGTACTCAGCTGGCCAGGGATGAAGCTTTAGTTGGTATGAAGTTTCTAAGCTCATTCCTGTTCTGAGTGGGTCCTTTCTAAACATAACTCCTCGACTATAAATCCCTTTTACTCCAGGGATCATTCCATAAGAAGCGTAGCCCTGGCTGGCTTTGCAGTTTTCTCCCTCACACCATGCAGCTATTATTGGGCACGGAGCAGGCTGTATGCACTAGGAAGTGAGTGTGTCTCTTGGTGCCCTGGTGCCCCTTGAACAAACACAGTCCCAGGAACAACTGGACTTCTGTGCAAGCTGAACTTCTGTTTCTACTTCTGTGCAAGCTGAACAAAGGCACCAGCCTACTTTTCCCAGGTCCGGGAAAGACTCCAGTGCACCGTGATGCTGAAGACGGAGGTGCTTCCCTTGGCCTTGGGTCCAGGTGACCATAATTCATGTGCAGAAACTGGCATGACCCTTTATAGAACAGTAGATTCCACTGGGGCGAAATTACTGGCAGCTGTGCTTTTCTTGTCAAACACTGGCTTGGGAGAGCCAAAAATAGATGGTCCTGGGACCAGTCTGGGTTCAGGAAGTGGCATGAGCAAGTTGCCTCCCCCTTAGGGAGAGTGTGCCACATTCCTCAGAGTGACAGGCAGCCTGGGAGGGCAAAGAGCAGGGCAGTGGCCAGGCTGGGGTGGGATGATTCGGATGCCTGGCCTTCCGGCTGCCATGGTCCTTCTCCCACCAGCCAGACCCTCCTTGCTCTGCCAGCCAGGGGCTCCCATTTCTCCCTGCTCCTTTGTGCCATGGCTCACCTCTGACTATGACACTTCTTGCTCAGAAAGCTCCATGGGACATCATCGCTGGGCAAAGAAAGTGTAAACTCGTCCTGTGAGGCCCCTCGGAATCCGCGCGTATCTCATCTCATCTCTCTTTAGACTCCGCTTCATGCCCTTTATGCTCCAGCCACTCCAGACTCCAGCTTGACATTCCCCCAAAATGCCCACGTTTTCCCACCTCATGGCTTTTTCCTCTAGTTCTTCCCATCCTGCAGAGTGCTTCCTACCTGTGCGCATTCCATAAGTCCTTCAAGGACCAGCTCACATTATGTATGGTGATCGTAACATTTATCATCTAAACAAGGATTTTTTCGGAAAAAATTTCACAAACTACCCCTCCCTTTGGGCCGTGAGGTCATGCAGTCACCCAATCCGAAAACCCTTTACAAAGAGGACTGTATCCCTCCTTGTCTGGCTCTCTCAATTTTTTCTTGTTGGAAAGGTTGTCACAGATCCCCCTGCCACAGAGTGTGGACATCAGGGTAGACACTTAGTTTCTGCTCCAGGTTCTAAGCTCCCTGAGAACAGACACAGTGCCCAGTGAGTCTTGTCCCCTTACCAGTGGCATGTACAACCCGTTGCCCAAAGTTGATGCCCATGGACCCTCAAAGCAGCTGCTTGCTGGTGAGCACGCTTTGATGCTGCATGGCTGCATGCTTACATGCCTTCTTCTGTCCCCAGCACCACTTGTTGAAGTTATGCACATCATTGCAGGAGAGGGGCGTGCCCACAGCTGCAAAGTCCTTGGCGTGCAAGGTGAGGACTCTGCTTCAGCCAGCATGCCAGATTCTGGCCCTCAGGCAGCTGCCCAAAGAGCTCTTGCCAATGCCGTGGCTCTTGCTAATATTTGATGATTGTCAGAGAGGGACCACCTATGGGTCATGCCGGCCACACATTCCTTTAGGCAAGAAACCCAGAGTGTGGCTTCTTATTTTGCATCAAGTTAAGTCACTTAGCAATCAGGGCAGGGCCCTAGTTTTAAGATGGCTTAGCCCACACTGGAGTGTCTAGTTAAGTAACAGGTTCACAGTCCAGCCTTGGCTCTGGGGAGGGCTTGTAGGCGAAAGAGTTGTAGTTTCTTTCGACAAATCTGCATTTGCTATAAGAGCTAATTAAAGATTCCTTTAAGGGTTCATAAGATTGATCTCCAGTTAAGCAGTATTTTCAACTCTTTTTCTTCCTTAGCTGGAGAATCCTTGGTTCAAACAACATCTTGGGTGGACATTCCAAAATGAGAAACAACCAAGTCAAGCTTTTCTGGGCAAAAGCAGTGTTAGGGCTTGAAGTTCTGTGCCCTTGCCACGGGCTCCCTCTATAGAGTTTCTGAGAAAACACCTTGAAAATCACTGCTCTAGAGTTTAATAAGGAAGATGCGTGTCCTGGAATCACAAGTGATTTGAGTTGCTGACAAGTGATTTGAGTGAAGCACAGGCTAAGATGGGTGGGAGGACAGGTGTTGCACACCAGCCCTACAGGAGGTGTTTAATGGATGCTGGTGGGTGGGGAGCTGCACGGGCTTGCCCAAGGCCACTCAGCTCCATTATAAGTCTCCCAAGCCCAGGCCTGTGAATTACACCCAGCAAGGGGATCAGGACCCTCTCCAGGGATGCCTTCCCTGCATCACCTCCACCCCAAACTCCCAGGAACTGAGGGAGTCTGTCCCTTTACGGAATGGCAGCCCCTGCTTGGGCTATGGGAGCAGCAGTAAGAGACTGACCTCATCCAAAGTGGATGATCCTCTCCAGGTATCCCTTGGTCTTATTTCCATTAAGCTGGAGATGGGAGTAGTCAGAAGTAGCAGTCACATTTTAACAAGCTATGTTTTACAAGATACACTTGACCTTTGCTGTAGTGATCAATAACTGAGCATGTACCCTATGCCAGGCATGGCCCTATATGCTGTGCACACACACATTATCTCATTTCATTTTTACAGCGTTCCCACTTTAT
Source organism: Homo sapiens (assembly GCF_000001405.40). Taxonomy (NCBI): domain Eukaryota; kingdom Metazoa; phylum Chordata; class Mammalia; order Primates; family Hominidae; genus Homo; species Homo sapiens. The sequence goes on from NC_000015.10 coordinate 91,983,256, forward strand.
AAAGGCTGTTCCAATTAAGAATTTTAACAAGAAGGCTTGGTGCATTTCTTGCATCTTTTTGTTAAAGTATGACCCTGAGAATTACCCGAGTGGGAGGCTATTTATTTCTAGAGAAGTTCTCTCTGGCATCCCCAGGAGGAGAGCCAGGTCCATATCCTTTATCCCCATCCCTTGTTTGGCCTGATGGAGGGTGTCTGGCCCTACCTAAACGAGCCTTGGAAGGTTTCACTTCAATTCCAACTTAATCTTTAATTGACTGTCCCGGACAGATTGAGAACTGAAATCCATCAGAACGAAGCATGAGGCTGAATTTCTCCTGAGAGCTCAGCTCACTTTTACAAGTAAATTACTTACATCTTCCTTGAGGCAGTAAAAGCGCATTTGTTTGGTTGTGGTGTGGGGAGGCCACGGGGACTGTAACTCTGTGAAAATCAGTGTTTAAAATGTGTGACAAAAAGCAATAAAATCATGTTGATCGGCATACAAGAGATCAACGTGGAATGTGCCCTGGTAGCAGAAACAGGGTGGAGGAAAGTTGGAATTCACAAACATGTTTATAGATCTCTGGTTTTCTAAGTCCAGTTAGAAGATATTCAACCCATGTCACATTCCTGGACCATAACATTGCTCTGATGTTGATCTAGAAGCTGCCATCTATTGTACAGTTGAATCCGTCTATGGTAACTAGGCTAATCAATCAAGGAGGAAAATCAAGACAGGGAGCTTGTGAGAGTGGATGTGGTTTCTGGTCACAAGGCTTCCAGGTCAGCGCTGTACCTCTGACCCTCCCCAACCAAACAAGGGTTCTGTTTATCCAGACCAGGGGGCCACCAGGTCAGATTTGCAGTCGGTTATTCCCACTGAGGAGAGGGGTTTGTGCTTTCCTGTTTAATTGCTTGTCTGGCCAAGCCATGAGTTGCAGGGTCCACCTCTTTGTTGGCCTTTTCCAGGAGGCGGTAGTGGGAACTCAGTGCGATGACATAAATCCTCTTTCCAGACTATTACTCAAGGTTTGAAGGGAGATAAAGTTAAATTTAACCTCCCACTTCAGCTATTTTCACAAGAAAAATAAAAATTTAAAGCAGATTTCCTGGTGATTCCATCATCTTTCTTATCGGAGATTTACAAATAATTCTAAAAGTTGAGAATTTCTGCAAAGTCTGGATACCCTTGAACCTTTTTCCTGAGAGATAAGATGATGTATTTATGCACATACATTCAGATAAGAGGTTCCAAATGTTTCTGCTTAAACCTCATCGGTAAAGGTTGTGATAAGTACCAACAATACTTTATCAATTTTATACTTGTATTCTTTGATAACATAGAAGGCATATTATAAAATAATCAAACGTACATAAAAAGAGGAGATAAAGGTGAAATAAACAGTATTGTAAAATGTCTTACTAGCCCTGATGGCTTTATACTGTCATCGGCTGATATCTCAAGACATAGAGATATTTAGAGTCACTTAGAGTGACATTTATTATTAATGATTTTGAGTATAAATCCATATTTCCAGTTATTTTATCCATCATTTCACATTTGTTTGCTGAATTGTCATTGCTTTTCAACTTTATGGTAGGGCTGACAAAAGCTTTTACTAGGGGAATGAGAGGCCCTGCCATTTTTTGGTGTTGTGTTTGTATTATTATCTTCAACTCACACTTTTTTTTGCAGTAATCTTTTTTTAAGTGAAATTTTTTCTTAAGTAGATCATACATAGAGAGAAGCACATAAGTGCTTCATCTCAGATCATAAGTGAACAACATGAATTTTCACAAAATTTACACACTCATATGACCACCACCCAGATCAAGGGATAGAACATTCCCAAAGCCCCCATCGTGGCTCTCCAAGTCACTCCCACCCTCTTCTTTCCCAAAGTAACGCCCAAAGTAACCTCTCTTTTGATATCTGTTACCTTTTATTACTTTTGCCTGTGTTTGAGCTTTATGTGAATGAAATGATGGCATCTATTCTCTGGTGTCTGGCTGCTTTTGCAGTACATTCTCTTTGTTGGATTGATCCATGTTGTCACATGTAGTTGTAGTTTATTCTGTTTAAGTGCAGCACTCCATTCTGTGACAGCCCCGTTTCATTATTCCTTCTACTATTGAGGGCATTTGTGTAGTGTCCAGTTTGTGGCTATCATGAATAGTGTCTCTGTGAGCATTACTGTCCCTGGGTTTTGGTGAACATATGCCCACATTTATGTGGGATGCGCACCTAGGAGTGGAATTGCTGAGTCATGAGGTATGTTCATTGTTAGTAATACTGCCCAAAAGTGTCAGTGTACGTTTCCTAATGAGCACGGGTTGAGGAGCAGTTCCACGCTCACCAACACTTGGTATTAGTGTCGTCTTTTTAGCTTTAGCTGTTCTGGTGGATACTGTCAGCATGGTCCTTACGTCAGACAATGGGGTCCCTCAGGCCCTGTGTCACAGAGGGCCCTGCACTAGTGCTCCTCAGGAGTGTGCCAGTTCTGGAGGGTGGTTGCTTGCAAAGGGCCACAGGACCACTTCCAGGGCCTGCTTGTCCTGCAGAAGGTGGCCTGAAGGGGTGGCCAAGAGATGCTTCTCATCAGAGACAGGACGGAAGGAGGAATGAGTGCACGGAGCTGGTTCCTGTGGGCTTCCTAGTCTACGTGTAGGTGGGGGAGGCCTTCGAGGAGCAGGATGGAGCCCTGGGTTGGGGGAAGAGGGTGCCATGACCAGGGTATGGCTCTCCCCCTTGTAACAGGCTTCCAGTGCCAAGGAGGCTGGGAATTCCACATTTGGATCTGGTCCTCTGAGTTTACATTCCCTTGAGGAGCGTGACAAGGTGAAACCAGTGGAGGTGGGCTCTGGGAGCACCTGGTGGGCAGAGGCTGAGTGGCATGGCTTTTTGAGAGATGAGGGAGTACCTGCTAGCCACCATGCTCGGCCTATATTTGCCCTTTCCTCGGCTACTGTCCAGGTAGGGGTGTGATGGTGGGCAAGCAGCTGAGCCTGGGTCAGGGGGTAAAGAGCCTCCCTGGCTTCCTGGGGAAGAGGACAAAAGGTGGGTGTTCACCCCATGGGATTCCGGGGAGATAAGATTAGGGAGATGGGGAAGTGGCTGTGGGTGCCTATTGGCAGCAGGATCCTTTCCTTCCATCCTTGCCTGCCTCCTAGAGCTCACTGTCCCAAAGAAAGGTAGTATGAGTGACAGGTGTCATTTTAATTCTCTAGTAGCCATTTTTTTTTAAAGTATGCAGAAAGAAGTAAAATTCATTTTATGTTGACCTAATAGAGCCAAAATATAATTTCAGTAAGTGATCAATGTGAACATTACTAGTGAGACGTTTACATTCTTTTAAAAAAAAAAAAAAACTAGGTTTCAAAATCAGATGTGGGTTGACACTTCCAGCGCACCTCAGTTCAGACCAGCTGCATTGGTTAACCTCCTGGACAGGGCAGCCCCAGAGGGGATCATGGCCTTTGGTGCGAAATGAAGTTAATTTGGGTTTGTACTCTCCATAGCTATTTAATATGAACTGTTGCTTTTTCATAGTTTTGATTTTGTTATGAAGATATATTTGTAAAAATAGGAAGATAGAACATATTTTAAGTTTGTTAGGTTGAATTTAAACTTTTAATGTCAAGGCATATGGGGAGAAGGGTATCTCCATTTGTACCTTTGCCCATAAATTCTGGTAGCTGTCAGCGGTCAAGAGAGAGGAAGGTTGGTGGTGGCCATGGTCAGATGCTGTCCATCTCAGTGTATCCAGGCAGGGACACAGGCAAGGACCATTTCTTACTCATCTTTGGGGCTTCACAGCCCCAAAGATTCTTTGCAACCTGAGCAGAAGTTGCTTTTTATCGCTTACAGATTTGACATTTTCTAGGAAGGTGATGCAGGTTTTAAAAACCGTATAGTTGAGAAGAGTGGCAGCAATAATCAGATAATAAGGGAACAAAACCCAGTTCTTTGCGTTGTGTCGGTAGGTGCCACATGAAGGGGGAGCATACATCTGCCTTTTTTTCCCCCATATTCCTAGAGCCTAGTGTTCAGTAGGTGCTAATGAATTAACTTGTTTATTCAACACGTATTTACTGAACACCTATCATGTGTCAGGTGTCAAGTGATGTATTATGCTCTGGGGATACAACGGTGAACAAGACAAAGTTCTTGCTCTCTTGGAATTTATGTATTATTGATGAGAAGCCTGTTTTGTTAATAATAAAGTCAGGCACAGTGGCTCATGCCTGTAATCCCAGCACTTTGGGAGCCTGAGGCAGGTGGATCACCTGAGGTCAGGAGTTCGAGACCAGCCTAGCCAACATCATGAAACTCCGTCTCTACTAGAAGCTACAAAAATTAGCCGGGTGTGGTGGCGGGCACCTGTAACCCCAGCTGCTAGGGAGGCTGAGGCAGGGGGAGTTGCTTGAACCCAGGAGGCGGAGGTTGCAGTGAGCTGAGATGGCGCCACTGCACTCCAGCCTGGGCGACAGAGCGAGACTTTGTCTAAAAAAAAAAAAAAAGATAATAATAATTAATTGTGGTCGCAGCTCAAATGACATTCTGACATTTGATGGATTCTCAAAGAGCTCAGAAGAAAAATAGCAGTTTTCCTGAGTCTTAAAAGATATAATCAGTCAGCAGGCACAAGGGATATTTAAATACCTAAAGGAGGGGTCCTCGTGGCCACGTGGAGGATGTGGGATTTGCCGGCAAAGGATTAAGGGAATCCATTCAAGAACACTTGTGTCAAATTTATTTTGATTTACAAACCCATGTCTGTACCATTCTTTGTCACCTGACAGATAATTGTGTTTTATCACTTACAGATGCAGGCTTTTCTAGGGGCTGATAGCAAGGAGATATACTTTTGAAAAATGGCGTAGGGTTGGGTGCGGTGGTGCACGCCTATAATTCTAGCACTTGGGCAGGCCAAGGCGGCTGGATCGCTTGAGCTCAGGAGTTTAAGACCAGCCTGGGCAATGTGGCGAAACCTCGTCTCTACAAAAAAAATAAGCCGGGCATGGTGGGGGGAGGAGGAGGCTGCAGTGAGCCGTGATTGCACCACTGCACTCCAGCCTGGGTGACAGAGTGAGGCCCTGTCGCAATCAATCAATAAAGACATAGATGAGAAGTGTAGCATCATTAATGAAATAACAAGTGAACGTAATAAATTAACATTTAAAAATAAAACTAATTTTATTTTTAAATGTTATTTTATTTTATTTAAAGAAATTAAAAATTCAGTGAGCCCAAGGAAAACTTGATTACATGGGATGGTTCAGCATGAGACACGATAAAAAGGAAACGTGCAGATCAATTAGTAAAATAATCAAAATCCTGTGGGTCCTTTTCAGTGGTTTTTGAACTTGAGGGGAATAAGAATCACCTGGAGGGCTTGTTCCACCACAGATTGCTGGTCACTGTGCTTATAGTTTGTAATAACTCTAAGGTGGAGCCTGAAAATTTGCAGTCCTAACAAGTTCCCAGGTGATGCTGATGCTGCTGGTCCAGGAACCAGGCTTTGAAAATTCACAGGTTTATTTCATTGCATCACTCATATATGCACACAACAGCTTTATGCTTCAGTTTCATACAGTTAACGCAAGGACAGACCATAAATCCTACTAATGCAGAGCGAGGTAGGATACAGTCCAATCATGGCTGCAAAAAGAATGAGGGGAAAAGCACATCAACTATGTGTACAGTTTTCATCTCTCTCTCATACTTAACTTGGTGTCCTTGACTAGTTTGGCCAGTCTCTTGTGTCTCCTTGTGGGGATATCAAAATTAGGCTCTCCGTAACCTGACTCTTCTTGAATTGGTTCATCTCCTGACACTGCCCTTTTCCTGCAGAAACTACAGGGACCATCACTCGCAGATAAGCCCATTGCTGTTTATTCCACTGTGCCTTCGCATAAGTGTCCTCTATTAACCTGCCGCAAATGTGTGTTCTTGCTTAGGACCCCACTCAGCTGCCACCTCCTCTTTAGGCTCTTGTCTTCTCTATCTTCCCTGTTCCATCTTCTTTCTGTACCTTATATGGACTCCTGCTGCAGCCCTTAACGTACTGTATTATAATCTGTAACATACATAGTCCCCTTCCTATCGTGTGAGCAACTCTGGGGCATCAGCCTTACCTTCTGCAGTTTTGTGGCCCCCGTTTCCAGCCCACATGTGAGCAGATACTTATGGATTGTATGTCCGTAGTAAATATGGATTGCGTGATTGAATGATTTAGTAAAAAACATTCCAGATCTCTCAGTCTATAAAAATGAATAGGATGCAATCACAACCAATAACAAGAACATAGAGGGCTCAAATAACTGATATTTGGAAAAGAGTTGCAGAGTCATGGTACAAATAAGACCATAATGAGAAGTCCTGAGCTTTCCATTACCTCGTTGCTCTGCATCACAGGCAAGTCCACATTTGGCTCTACTTAGATTAATCATTTCGTGGAAGAACCAAAGTATTATTTAGCTACTAATAAAAAGCAATTTGCTGATACCAACTCAGGGACATGAATATCACAAAATAGTTATCCATAAGCATCTGTCATCTCCATTATATTTTAGTCACAGTGATAGATTATCAAATGAATTAGAGGACAGAATTAGTCTGAATCCTCAGTTCTAACATAATCACTTGGGGAAATATTTGCCAAGAGAGTAGAAAGATTATGAGAATGAAAACTTCTTCCATTTGCCTTGAAAAGATTAGCTGTAGAATCCTAATCATCTAGAATATTTCAAAATCCACTGTCAGATGACCCATGAGCTCAGTCCATGTAGTGTATTTTCAAATGCATTGCTTACCACTTCTATCCTTCGCATACCATAGATTTTTAAAATGATGGCGGGAGGGCGGAAGAGATGGTGCTTTAAGATGAGGGAAATGGGCAGTTTTTTTCTTTGGAGGCAGTCACTGAATAGTGGGACTATTTACAATGTAGGGCACGGAAAGGCAGCATTTATTTTGAAGAAATGTCAGAGCTAGAGTTTTGTGAAATTGCTTTTAATAGATTTTTGTTCTTCTTTCTCATGCAACTTTGCCAGAATTAAAGCAATGCTCTTATGACAAGAGGAGCACCAGGGCCACTGTGGGTTCTAGCAAAGAACTGGTGTTACTTAGTGCCTGCTGTTGGCTGCTTCTCTGGGAAGCCTGGTTTCCTACATTTCACTCTCTCAGCACACCTCCCTCTTGACTCTGACCATCCTTCTCAGACTCCTGAACTGGTTTCATTTCATCTCTCTTCCTCTTGCCTCTGGGTGTCCTTAAGGCACTGTTCTTAACCCTCTTGCCTCTGGGTGTTCCTAGGGCACTGTTCTTAACCTCCAACTTCTTCCAGTATATACTCAGTTGTGTATTACCAAATGCCCCTGGGACGTTTCCACTTAGATGTTCAGCCTCAAGAAAAAAAAAAAAATCCCTATGTTGAGCACATCTGCTTGAAACCCTCCTGCCTTTCCAGATATTTTCTCTAATTTGGACATACCATGATCAGACCCTTCCTGACGCATTTGCTGTTGCCTAGAATGCCCCCTGCCATCCCCCATTCTAGAATACAGCTCTTAAACTCAAATGCCTCCAGAAGCGAGGAGAGGAATTTGCATGTGTGTTGCTGGCTGGGAATAGGGTGCAAAATGGCAGCTGACCTTGGCCTCAGTGTTGAGGAGCAGTAGAGCCCGTGGGGACAGTGAAGAGCTGGGGAGCTGGTGCAGCAGCAAAGCGGGCACTTCCTACTAAGCACCAGGCCATCCTTGCCATGTAGGTGTGTGGGCCCAGTGTTACCAGATTTCTTTATTTTTAAAAAGAATGCAGGGTATGTTTGTTTTTAATTGCCTGATTTTGGCCAAGTGCAATGGCTCACGCCTGTAATCCCAATACTTTGGGAGGCTGAGGTGGGAGGATTGTTTGAGCCCAGAAGTTCGAGACCAGCCTGGGTAGCATAGTAAGATTCTGTGTCTACAAAAAAATCAAAAAATTAGGCAGGGTGGTGTGCACCTATGGTCCTAGCTACTCAGGAGGCTGAGGTGGGGGATCACTTGAACCCAGGAGATCTGCAGTGAGCCATGATGGCACTACTGCACTCTAGTGTGGGCAACAGAACGAAACCATGTCTCAAAAAAAAAAATTGCCCAATTTTATATGTGTTAACAGTTGTTTGAAATTAAAATCACCTTTTAGGCTAACATTGTGCAGATCATACAAACTGTGTCTGTTAGTCCTGTGTGGGCCTCAGCTGCCAGTGTACAATTTCTGATTTAGAACATCTGGCTCAGTGCCATCCAGTAGACATACGCAAGACATTTGAGTGATCTAAAATTTTCTAGTAGCCATGTTTCAAAAGTTAAAAGAGAACAGATGAAATTAATTTTAATATTTTTAATTTAGTCAAGATTTCCCAAATATCATTTCAACATGTGTAACCAATAAGAAAAATCACTAATGAGAGATTTCACATTCTGTTTTTGCATGTAAGTCTTTATGCTTTACAAAACTAAACGCACATCTCAATTTAGACTAGCCGCATATGACTAGTGGCTGCTGTCCCGCGCAGCCCAGCTCTGGATGAGGAACAAGAATTAATTACATGCACATATAATGAAGTGGGATTTTATTCATTATGCTTGTGTAGAGCTAGATAAGTTGAATTGGGGGTAATCCAAAGTCAAAGATAGTAAATCTGAGAATGGTGAGTCCAAATATGACAAAAAGAAATAGATAGAAAAGAATTGCTGGGATGGCACCAGAGTGATAATTGATAGACTTTCATAAGTCCATCGTGCATGGCTTCCAATAATCCCTTAAGGGACTTTTCTCTCTGGAGCTCTACCCTGTGCCACAGGAGTTCACAGTTTAAGTTCTAATCCATACTTCAAGGTTAGCTTCCATTTTGGATTTATCATGCTGTTGCCCTTCTAAAAGGCAAATGTCAAGGTGAGTGTTTTGTCTATAAGCATTTAAAACAAAATGAGCATCAAGGAAGCCACTGTAAAATGGGGAGGAGTGTTCTGAACTCATTGACCACTTCATCATTCAATCAAGACTTAGCAAATGCACTACGCTGCTAACGATGAGCACTTCCACCCAATATTTACCGGCTTTCACTGCACATTCATACTGGGAAGCAGCGTTCTAGAGTTATTATCAGCTCTGACCTCGTGAAGGTTATGACCGCCAGTGACTCCTTTCTTGACCCTGACTACATGATTTGTGTGTTTCCTTACTACTGCATCGTTGATATGCTCAAGGATCTGTTGAGGGTTAAAACGGGAAGCCAGTGATCCTTCTAAACCATGTTAGCATCTCCCCGTAGTAAGATGTCAACCATCTGGCATGCAGTATTGTGTACATGGATCATTGTGCTGTCGCTAGGCCTCTCTTTGCCCAGTAACAGTCAAGATGTGGTCATTTATGCTCCCTTGCTACCAGAAGGGACACAGCTTCTCAGGACTGTCAGTCATACCTGTTTAACTCCTGTCTAATGTTCTCAGTGACAGCTTTAGCATCTTGGAAGATACATACCATTAGTGCTCTCCAGGAGCCAAGGGTCCCAACTCTGGTGAGTTAAGGCAATGGCACAATTATAATCCTGGGTTGAACTGTCAACATTATTGGAAAGGTCATCCTAGGGCTATTGCAGTGGCATTTCCCCATATCTGAACTCTCTGGCATGGATCTGTTGTGAAAAAAGCTGCCAAGTATGATGATTTTGAGAAACAAGAGTCTAAGGAACCTTGAAGGGAATCCAGGGCCCCTTATAAAGATGGTCATTTCTTAAGTCATTAGGTACAACCTTTCTGGCGTGTGTCTAGACTCACTGGCTTCAGTAAGCAGCCTCCACTTGGTTTCAGCCAGTCTTATCTCCTAAGTACAGCACTGATTGGGAGAAGAGGAAGCAGAAATTCTGCCTTTGTGCAAGAAGGAGCTTGCCCACAATTGTCTCTGGATGCATACTAGTCTTTGTACGAATTGCATTAGTACAAACATTTCAACCAACACATAAAATTTCAGTTGTCTTTGTTTTGAGCCTTCCGAATTCAGAGGAAGTATTTCATGCTGATATATTTAGATGAAAGAGAAAGTTACAGAGCACTTTTGGTTTGAAGTTACCACTCCAGACACCTTAAATGAAGATGAAATTTGAGAACTAATTTATAGAGATAATGACTTAGAGTAGAAATTGAGAGCAAATACTTCCTTCCTTGGAAATGGCTCAGAAAGTAGATAGTAAAACAAAGGAGAGCCAAATGGAACTTGGTTGGGATGACATGGGCATTTCCTCTTTTCATCCACACATCCATTCTTCAGATAAATATTTATTGATTTTATCATGATATTCCAGACACTTAGAATGCAGGCATAGTGAAGATCCATTTTTGTTTTTAATTTAATAGACTTGGTCCATGGTAGCCAGCCTGCAAGACTAGCTCCCAGTAATCCTCATTTCCTGGTGTGCATACCCCTGTTTGGTCCTCTCCCATAATGAATAAGGCTGACCTGTATAACCAATAAGATAATATGGAATTAATGATTTGTAACTCCAAGGCTAGATCGTAAAAGATGTTGCTGTTTCTACCCTGCTCTCTTGGATCGCTTGCTCTGGAGGGAAGCTGGTCACCATGTTGTGAGGACACCTAAGCAGGCTGTGGAAAGGACCGCATGGAGAGCTGAGCCTTCCTGCCAACAACCAGCCCCAACTTTCCAGCCATGAAAAGAAGCCCCCTTGGAAGCAGGTCTTCCAGCCCCAGGCAAGCCTCCGGATGACTGTGGCCCTGGCTGATGTCTTGGTTGCAACTTCATCAGAGACCACAGCTAGAACCACTTAAATTCCTGACCTATAAAATTTGCGTGACATGATAAATGTTTATTGTATTAAGCCTCCGTGTTTTAAGATAATCTATTATGTAGCAATACATAACTAATACATAGTCTTTATGTGTGCCAGGCTTTGTTTTAAGGCCTTTGCAAATAATAACCCATGAATCCTCATAACAACTCTTCAAAGTAGGTACTGTTGTTACTCTCATTTTATACATGTGGAAACTGAGGCCCAGAGATTATATTTACTTTTTAAAATTTTGTCTTTTTTTTTGTAAAAATGTTTTACTTTTAATTTTTATGGATATATAGAGATGTTTAAATTACTAGCCCAAAGTCACAGTTGGTAAAATGTTGAGCTGGAATTTGAATTGAGCAAGCAGTCTACCCCTTAGCAGAATCTGCTTTTTTTAAATGAACTAAGCAGCCTGGCCAGAGTCCATGCCCTCAGCAGCTACGTTGTGTTGTCCTTAAGGAGGAGCATGTTTTAGAAAATCAGTTATAAAATCAGGTGATTGATGAAGTGCAGGGTTAAGTTAAGAGAAGAGTGAACTGCCTTCAGAATCCAGTGCTGTTACCACTCAAGTGGAGATCTCAGATAAATCACTTATTGGAGCTTCTGTACAATCATCTGTAAAACCATTACTTCCCACTTGGAGAGATTTTTGAGGATTAAATGAGATAATGCATGAAAGCCCTCTAGCTTGGGCATCAGTACACCTGAGTTCCCTTCCCTTGCTCTGCACAGCCTGCTCATCACCACTGATGGGGAACTCTGTCCTCTGTAGGGCCCCTGCAGACATGGGCCTTGCCTGGATGCTGCTGCTGTCGGAGCCTAGGAGAGTTGTGCCTGGCATCGCAGCACAGGTACTCACAGCTCTCAGAAGGAGACTCCTGTCTGGGACCCTGCCCTCATTCCCACGTAGGAAAAATCCTTTACATGAGCATCTCCTGGCCTTCATTGTTAGGTTGTAGACTACAATGAATGATATTCTGTGTTTAATTACATTATGCACAACACTCTACAGAGTGGGTGGTTTTGAATCCCAACCACTAATTTACGAAGTGGAGCGGCTCTGCTGGCTCTGTGAAGTATGTGTTGTGGAGCCAGAGGTGATGCTGTTGGATGTGGGTGGTGATTTACGGGAGAGCAGCATAAGCAGAGGAAGGCACAGAGACCTGGGTTCAAATCCCACTGCCAGTGCTATCTGACGTGAGACTTCGGACAAGTTATTTAACCTTAAGGCTTAGTGTCCTTGCATGTAAAATACAAATAATGCTGACCTCATTGATTCCTTGTGAGGAGCCCATGGGATAATGTGGGGTACCATGCATCAGTATCATTTCCCTTTCCCTTGATAATGATTATATTGGACAGCTAGTGTCATAGGAAGCTAATGGTTAGGAATTCAGACTCACACAAGAATAGATTTTGTTTTGCAGTGGAAACTTAGTGATAACTTTGGACTAAGACAATGTGAAGACATTTTGGCAGACAATCATAGAGTAGTTATATTCTTGTGAGGTCTGCAGAAGTCCCTAGTGGGGAGAGCAGACAGAGCCTTGGATGCTCAGACCTAGTTTGGCTGTGAAACTGAAGCTTTAGTCCTTTTAAGTCTGTGTTTCTGACCCTGGAGGAAAAAAGTTATACATACCTTGAAAGATTTTCTTGAAAAAAAAAAAAAAAAAAACTTGTACATGTCTGTATACACAAGATGGAAAAAAAAAAGTTCATAAAGTATAATATGAATTCATGATTAAAAACAAGAAAATATTACAAAGCAATACTCATAGAAATTTAGACATAGAAGGTAACTTCCTTATTCTGATAAAGAATGTCTACAAAAATATTCAAGAACCAAACACATGGTTAATATCATACTTAATTGTGAACCTTTATAATAGGAATGATTTAAGGATGCTCTCTTTTACCTTTTTCATTTACTATTACACTGGATGTTCTAGCTATACTTAGGCAGGAAACAAAATAAGATTAGAAAAGAACAAACAAAATTGCCCATATTTGCAGATAAGATTATCAATGTTAAAAAAGAGATAATTTTAAAACTATCAGTATTCAGATTTAACAGCTACAACATCAGTGTACAAAAATCTTAGCATTTCTATAGATAAGCAAAAATAAGTGGCAAATGAAAATTGTTTAAGAAAGTAAATATTTATGCTAGTAATCAAAACCATAAGGTATCTAAGGAAAAAATATGACAAAGATAAGATCTTTATCAAGAATATTATACAGCTCTATTGAAAAGCATAAAATAAGATATTTAAACAAAGGGTAAAATATACCATATTCATGGATGGGATGATTCAGTATCATAAACATTTTTTTTTGCCCAAATATACCTGTAATTTCACTTCCATTGCAATAAAAACAAAATAGGGATTTTCATGGGGGTTGGGGACTATATAAGATAACTCTAAAAGTTCATGTGGCAAAGTAGATGACCAAGAATAATTAACATAATTTCGTGTAAGGGGATCATACAGGAGGGAACTTATCCTGATAGTTATCAGGATTAAAAATTATAGTAATTAATACATGTGGTATTGGCACAGGGATATAGAAATAGATGTTATTTGAACTGCCTAATGTGCTCAAAAACCAACCCATACATATACAGACAGCTAAATGAGAGCAACAACACTACAATTAATGAGGAAAAATGATTCATTTAATGAATGGTGCTTAAACTGTTAGCAAATGAAAGGGACAAAAAGAATCAGATCCCTACTGCATACCACAGTATAAATATATCTAGATGGTTAACATCCTGAGTATGAAAAGCCAAAAATTTAAAATGTATAGTGAAAAAACACAAAAACCCTAAGGGAAACTCTTAATGTAATCTAACTGGATTGCATTAAAATTATAAAAGGACACCATAAACTAAGTTAAAAGACAAGAGAGGAAGTCCTAGCCAGAGCAATTAGGCAGGAGAAAGAAATAAAAGTCTTCCAAATGGAAAAGAAGTCCAGCTGTCTCTCTTCACTCGTGATGTGACTCTACACCTAGAAAACCCTAAAGATTCCACCCGAAGGTCCCTGGAAATGATAAATGACTTCTGTAAAGTTTCAGGATGCAAAATCAATGTACAAAAATCAGTAGCATTTCTATACACAAATAACATTCAAGCCAAAAGCCAAATCAAGAATGCAATAACATTTACAATAGCTACATCCACACCCACACAAAATACCCAGGAATGCCTCTAACCGTGGAGGTGAAAGATCTCTAGAAGGAAAACTACAAAACACTGCTGAATGATGTCATAGATGACACAAACAAATGGAAAAACATCCCATGCTCATGAATTGGAAGAATCAATATTGTTAAAATGGTCATACTGCCAAAAGCAATCTGCAGATCCAGCACTATTCCTGTCAAACTACCAACGTCATTTTTCACAGAAGTAGAAAAACCTATTCTAAAATTTATATGGAACCAATAAAGAGCCTGAATAGCCAAAGCAATCCTAAGCAAAAAGACCAAAGCTACAGAGGCATCACATTACCTGAATTTAAACTATGCTATAAAGACATAATAACCAAAATGACATGGTACTTATACAAAAACAGACTACATAGACCAGTGGAGCAGAATAGAGAACCAATAAATAAAGCTCCACACCTACAGCTCTCTGATCTTCAACAAAGTTGACAAAAATAAGCAATGGGTAAAGGACTCCTTATTCAATAAATGGTGCTGAGATAGCTGATGAGCCATATGCGGAAGACTGAAACTGGACCCCTATCTTTCAACATATACAAAAATTAACTCAAGATGGATTAAATATTTAAATGTAGGAGCTCAAACTATAAGAATCCTAGGGAAAGAAACCTAGGAAACACCACTCAGAATATCAGCCTTGGGAAATAATTTATGGCAAAGTCATCAAAAGCAATTGAAACAAAAACAAATTAACTAAAGAGCTTCTACATAACAAAAGAAACTATCAATAGAGTAAACAGCCAACCTACAGAATGGGAGAAAATATTTTCAAACTATGCATTCGACAAAGGTCTGTTATCCAAAATTAATAAGAAACTTAATTCATTAAGCAAAAAACAACCTCATTAAAAAGTGGGCAAGGTCAGGTGTGGTGGCTCATGCCTGTAATCCCAGCACTTTGGGAGGCCAAGGCAGGCAGATCACCTGAGGTCAGGGGTTCGAGACCAACGTAGCCCACATGGTGAAATCCCATCTGTACTAAAAATACAAAAGTTTGCTGGATGTGGTGGCGCACCCCTGTAATCCCAGCTACTCAGGAGGCTGAGGCACGAGAATCACTTGACCCTGGGAGGCTGAGGTTGCAGCGTGCCGAGATCGAGCCATTGCATTCTAGCCTGGGTGACAGAGTGAGACTCTGCCTCAAAAATAAAAAAAAAAGTGGGCAAAAGACATGAACAGACACTTCTCAAAAGAATATGTACAAGCAACCAACAAATATATGAAAAAATGCTCAGCATCACTAATTATCAGAAAAATGCAAATCAGAACCACAACGAGATACCATCTCATACCAGTCAGAATGGCTGTTACCAAAAGTCAAAAAACAGCAGACGCTGGCAAGGCTATGGAGAAAAGGGAATGCTTATACACTGTTGCTGGGAATGTAAATTAGTTCAGCCACTGTGGAAAGCAGTTTGAAGATTTCTCAAAGAACTTAAGACAGAACTACCATTCAACTCACCAATCCCATTACTGGGTACATATCCAAAAGAAAAGAAATTGCTCTACTAAAAAGACACATGTACGTGTATATTCATTGTAGCACGATTCACAATAGCAAAGACATGGACTCAGCCTAGGTGCCCATCAGCAGTGGATTAGGTAAAGAAAATGTGCATATACATCATAGAATACCGAGCAGCCGTTAGAAGGAATGAAGTCATGTCCTTTGTAGGAACATGGATGCAGCGGGAGGCCATTATCCTAAGCAAATTATGCAGGAACAGAAAATCAAATACCACATGTTCTTTTCTTGTAAGTACAAGCTAAACATTGGGTACTCGTGGACGTAAAGTCGGCAATAATAGACACTGGGGACTACAGTGGGGGTAGGGTGTGGGGAAAAGGGTGAAAGGCTCTTGGGTACTATGCTCTCCACCTGGGTGATGGGATCGTTCATAACCCAAACCTCAGCATCACACAATAGACCTGTGTAACAAACATGCACATGTATATCCTGAATCTAAAATAAAAATTGAAATTATTTTAAAAATTAAAAAATAAAAAGACACATATGGACAGAAGATTTGTGCTACACATAACCAATCAACGATTAATATTCAGAATATTTAAGAATTCCTAAAAATTAGAAAAAAGGCTATGCCATAGAAAAATGGGTATAAAATAGGAAGAGGGAGAAATCAGAGGTGAGGAAACTGAATGGGTAATGAGCATAAAAAACATGCGCAACCTCACTAGTAGTCAAGAAAGTGCAATTAAAACAATACAAAGAGATACTGTCCTACACCTTTCAGATTGGGAAGAATTAAAATCTGAGAACACCAAGGGGTGGCAAAAATACAGGGAAGTGAGGATTTTCACACAGTGCTGCTAGCCAGGGGCAGTGGTGCATGCCTGTAGTCCCAGGTACTCGGGAGGCCGAGGCAGGAGGATTGCTTGAGCCCAGAGTTGAAGGCTGCAGTGAGCTATGATTACTCCACTGCACTCTAGCTGGGCAACAGAGCGAGAGACCCTGTCTCTGAGAAAAAAAATTGTAAGATCACTTTGGAAAATAAGTGGCATTTTCTATTACAAGTCAGCAAATCTACAAATACAAATATACTCTCGAAAACCATAGATACAGGAGGAAACCTAAGAATGTTCACTGGGGCATTGTTTGTCAGAGTTAAAAACTGAGACCAGTCTAAATGTCCATCAGGAAGAGAGTAGATTTAAAAAGTATTTGATATGTATAAGATAGAATACTATATGGCAATTAAATGAATGGATTAGATACATTTGAATAACTTAATGTTGAGTCAGATAAAAGTCTCAGCTAAGTAATGTTCCTTTTGTGTAACATTTTTTAAAACCACAAAATGGCACCTTAAATTATCTTTGGACATATATATGATTTTATATATGATTTTATAATTGTGGGCATGTGTGTATAGATATACAAAACATGTATATTTACATATAAACATTCATGTATACATACAAGCACACCCACAGTTATGAAATCATGCCTGTGAAAGACATCTAGAAGTTCCAGAGAACAATATCCTCTGGGAAGGGAAGTGGGGGCAAGTTAAATTGAGCTGGAGCGAAAAGGAGGCTTTAACTCTGTAATGTTTTTTTCCTTTTTTTTTAAAAAAAAAAAAAGAATCTGGGGAGTGACTGCTTAATGAGTATGTGTTTTCTTTGTGGTCATGCAAATGTTTTGGAACAATATATCTATAGGTGGTGGTTGCATAAGGTGAATGTATTAAATGCTGTTGAATGCAGAAAAAAAAGGAATCAAAATAATAAGAGACCTAAAGGCAATGTCACAGAATTTGTTAAAGTTGAGAGTTGATTATGCTAATTAAAGTTGAGGGTCAGTTATACTAATTTAATTATTTTCTGTATTATTGTGTTTAAAAGGCTTCGTTGAAGCAACAGCCATCAGCACTTTTGAGATGTACCCAGAGAAACTGTTAGAAATCTGTCTCTTAGCAGAGAACGTTCTCTTTAGGTCTGTCCCTGTGTACCGGAAGGTGTTTGTGCATGAGTGCTGGTACCTTGCCTGTGTGCACACACGCTTGTACGCTTGTATTCATCTCATGCTCAGCTGCTGTTGCCTTGGCAACTTGGGATGCTCTGTCTCCTGCTGAGTCTGGGGTAGTTGGAGGGCTTTGTACATTGGCTGTTCATTTCCCTTCGAGGACTGTCATCGAGAGCAAGGCTGATCAGTCTGTCTATCTTTGTCTCTGCCTCCTAAATATGCAATTTACCTTGTCATGAGCATCTTCTAGCTACTCTCCCCAGCTTGCATACCTCATTTTCAGCCATTCATTTCTAAGACATAACTGTGAATGCCTAATCAAAAAAGAAAAAAAGAAAAATTTACAACCTTAAACCATTTTCTCTAAATAAGCAGTTAAGAACCAGGAAATGCTTTAAGGACCAGGTGGGTGGGCGGGGGGGAGGGGGCGAACAAAAGAAAACATGCTGTATTTGCATTGTTTCTACAGATCCTCTTTTCCAACCACTGGGAATGCCTCAATGGGCAAGGCATCCAGCTTAGGACCTGGCACCAGCACATATTATGGGATGCTGCTTCCTTGGTGCTTGTGGAATAAATTCCTACTTTTTGGTCACTGTGGTCCATTAGGAACCTTCTGGCTTGAACCTCCTTGTTCAGACTGGTCTACAGGGTTGAGCTTGACAGTGCCTCCTGCCCCAGCCTCCTGTGCCCGCTGGCCTGCTGTGCCAGTCTTTCTAGCTGTCACTTGGAGTGCTTGAGCCAGAAACTGATATGATAAGGACACTTAAATGCTGGTTCAGCTCTGGGTCTCACATGCCCCCCCACCCAGGGAGATTGTTTAGTGGATTGAGGCTGCATGAAAAGATATAAAACAAACATGTGCTGTTTATCAACACAGTAGGGTTTCCATTCTTAGAATGTTAAAGTGGTCATGTATTAAAGATCTCTATCCCAACCAACCAGCTAGCCAATATTTACTGAGTTCTTGCACTTTGCCGGGCATTTTAGAAACGTGACGACTGAAATCCATGGAAGTTGTGTGAGTTCTTTTTTTTTTTTTTTTTTTTTTTTTTGAGACGGAGTCTCGCTCTGTCACCCAGGCTGGAGTGCAGTGGCGTGATCTCTGCTGTGTGAGTTCTTTTTATTAGCTCAGTTGGCACCTTTGCCTAGAGAGATACCTGCTCAATGCAGGTCCCTCCATCCTGCTTAAAAGGATCATTAGAGCCTCCTCTTTTCATATTGCTCTTCTAAGATCACTACATACGGAAGACCACGACATAGGGACTCTTGGGTAAGTGCTGAATCCATATTGAGCCCTTAGCTGCTGGAACTGAGGGTCTTAGCCCAGTGAGGATGTGAGATTTTTAACCTATGGAGTGGATGTGTGGTTTTCCCATTTAGCCTCAGTCCAGATGTACATTCGCAAGGAAAGAAGGCACCTACCTGCTATTACCGCAGGTGTTAATTGTCCCTGATAAGCAGCCAGGGCCCTGTTCCAAGGCAGGCAACGTCTAGACACAGTCCTTGGCCTGAGAGAGCAAGAAGAAGAAACCGTCCAGTGGAAACTCACTCTGGAAAGGCCCTTGAACAATGTACTCCTCATTCAGGACCTGTCTGGACAAAGTGATGTGTTTTTATCAGTCTGGCAACATTTCTTACAAGTCCATAAGGCCCAGGTGATGAAAACAGCATGGTGTGAATGTATTTAGTGCTTTTTCTCTTCTGTTTTAAGAAAAAAAATTATTAACATGGAATGCAAGTGTGTTCCTACTTGTCATTCTGAGAATTTTTCTTCTTCTTGACTCCAGCCTTTCCAAATAATTAATTTTATTTGCCTGATGCACACATAGTGGATTAAGAGTTTTATGGTAAAGATATTCTCCGAAATTAGTGGTAGCAATTATCTCTCAGGAAGGGCCTGCGATGGGCAGGAGACTCACTTTTTATTGAATATTCTATAATATTTGAATTAAATTTTCCCAAATGCATCTCTTTTTCAATTAAATAAACTTAATTAAAACATCTTTTCTAGTAGAACACAAGGGATACCTATGCTGATAATATTACATGCACTGTGCTGACTCAGTATAGGATCATTTAGATTACCATACCCCAGTTCTACTTAATAGCTGTATGATGCCGCCAATTAGTTCAACATCCCAAGCCTCAATTCTCAAATCTGAACAGTAGAGATGAGGTTGATTGCTTATCTCACGGAGTATTATAAAGGTGAAGTGAGGCAAGGATATCACTCTTCCCTGCATTAAAATTACATTGCCCGCCTCCCCTGTGAACCCTGTGTACCTCCATAGCAGGAAATTCATCTTATGTATCTTTACGTGCCCAAGTCCCCCAGCTCTGCTCTGAAACATTCTGATAGGAAGGGCCATTCTGTCATATTATTTATTGCTATATCTCTCTAGTGCCTGGAACCGTGCTGAGCATAGTATACGTGCTGTGTAAATGTTTGTCGAGTGCACTTATGCGTGGTAGGAGGTAGTTAATTGATGGTTGAACACTGACTTGCTGAAATGACTTACACATGTCCTGTCTCACCCCTAGTGGTTAGTGCTAACAAATGTCTCGGCTTCAGAGAAGATACACTATGGAGTATACATTCCTTTTGCTTATTAGTACTTTATTAGTTTTTCATCAGCTAGCCTGTCATGCATTGGCCTCAGCATCTATCAACAGATCTTGTCATTCTGCCTCCCCCTTCCCATCAGAGGATGTCTCATCAGTGGACATCTTGTTAGTGAATACCTCGTTATTCCTTCATCAGACCTTCTGTCATTTTCTCAGCTGCGTTGATGAGAAATCCCAGACTTCATGGGAAAGGTCAGGAGTTGGCAAATGAGAGCTAGACAAGATTCAGTAGTGACATGCAGTGGTTGTCCTGTGGGATGAAGGGCTTTCGTGAGTGATACAGTAGGTATACACAACAGTTAGTTCCCCATGGAATTCATGGATACGGGGCCAGGATTACATGCACCACCAGCCAGAAGATGACACCAGGTCAGCCTGGCCAGGCTGTGGGTCGGATCACAGCCCTTGGCAGTAGGTTTGAATGAGGTGGCACTGGAGTAGGCATTGCCTGGCAGTGCTCCCCATCAGCACTGCGCAGCTGGGGACCTGCTGCAGAAGGGCCATGCTCACACTGCTCAGCAGCTGTAGCTGTCAGCCTCTATCATGGATTCTGATAATCGTCCAGATTAACTGAAATGTGCAAAATAGGTTGGTGCCTTATGGTATGTGGTACGTGGACCGTCTCAGGCACTGGTTATAGGGGCAGATTCCTGGATCCCACCCAGACCTTCTGGGAGAGGCTCTCTGGGGTAGGGCTTCGTAAGTATCAGCTTTAACATGCTCCAGTCTGTGCTAAATCACAGGAAAGGTGGAGAGCCATGCTGGACTAGCTGGGAGTCTGGTTTTTGGAGCTGACAGACCTGGACAGGTTCTAGGCTGTGCCACCTGCTAGCTGTGTGATTGTGGCATGCAGCCCTGCTCAGCCTCTGCATCCTCCTATACGGTGAAGACCATGACGATGGTGTCCGTCTCATGGAACTGTTAGGATTAAGTGAGATAATGTATGCAGGGCATCATAGCACAGCATATGGCCTAACACAGGCAGCTAAGAGTATAGCTGGTTAGGCAGTGATGACAATGATGATGACTATCCGTGGAGAGGGGAGTGGTTTTAGTAATTCTGCTCCACGCAGCATTAGAAGAGTAGATGCTTGAGTAGTGTTGAAGAGATGATGAATTATTGGCCATTTTATTGACAAACAGAACACCAAAAACCAAAGATACTCACTCCCTGGATTAGATGTCACCGTAGTCTGTGTATCAACAAAATCTCCAAAGTGATTTGGAAGGACACTTTGAGTTTGGCAGGGGATAGATGCTGGTGAGTGAGTTGGAGAACTAATGCAGGTGCATCCCAGAAGCAATAGTTGGAGCTTCTCCCAATTGTCCCTCAAATGCATTAGTCCCGACTGAAATCTGGTGGTTTGTGTAATGTTAAAAACATTCTTTTACTTTTCATCCTGGATGCATCTATGGCCTGCATTTGAGCTCCTACCTAAAGTAGTTCTGTCTGGCAGAGAGCAGAAGAACACTCCAAGTGTGGTCTATGGCTCTAAGCTCTGAAAGCCTCATCATTTCCTTATGGGGATAATTAAAAACTCTTTTAAAGCCTCTGAAACTCTCTTATTGAACCCTAATAAATATCAGTGGCTTTATTTGCCACAACTTACTAAAAAGCAGAGCAGTGGTTAAATGAAAAGATTTATGATATTTGCATTGTTTATTTTGAAGCATCTAATTAAATAATTAGTTCAGTCTTCTAGCTGTTTTTAGAAACAAGTCTTTAGAACCCTACAGAGAGATTTTCTGGGCCCAGGAACTCATTTGGGGAAGTGATTGGCCTTTGAACAGTAAGTAGAAAGTCATCAAGGTAGCTCTGCCCACCTGGTGTTTGCTTATGGAAACCATCTGCTGGTTAAAGTTCCTGGCTCAGAACAGCCCTAGCCAGGCAGTCACAGCCTGCACAGAGGTGCAGTGATGGCCATAGTGTGCCGAAGGGGCTGATCGCTTCAAGAGCGTCTGGAAAGTTGATGGTCTATCTGTCACTGCGATCTTGACATCCTGTGTGGTTCAGTCTGGTTGCAGTTGGACTCATGCTGGGTCTGGCGGGTAGGTGAGAATCTCTACCTTGCTGTTGCTGTCCAGGTTTCAAGGCAAGCGTGAGAGTAGTCCTACACAGAGGAAAACACACATTAGGCTCAAGCACCTGCCTGTGCTTTGCTGCTGCTTGTTTAAAGGAGTGCTTGGAAATGCCAGCTGCCCAGCCTCTAGAGAGCTGGGGGGATGGACCCCTATCCTGTGAGAAGTTGAGTTTGAGGATACACCTGACCGCTGAGGGATGCAGAGCACACCTACGCTAGCTCACTTTTACACAACCCGATAGATTTCTTGATGTTATGCACTGGATAATTCCCTTGTGGCCCAGTCACCTTCCCTTTTGTAGGGATGGCCTGTCTATGTGATAGAAAGTACTCAAGCCATGGAATCAAGTGGATGTGAATTCCACTGCTGAACCTGCCACACACTGACTTTGGGACTGAGCGAAAGCGTTTCTGAGACTCAGCCCTTCTAACTCTCACAGGAGGAATGGAATAGCTAATTGCACCCAGTGAGGGTTAAAAACGTCTTGTATGTGAAAGGAGATAATGCCACACCAGGTGTGCTCAGGCTGTGTCTGTTAGCAGCTGAGTTGCTCTGTCGTCTCATGCTTGGGCGTGCTGTTAGGTAATTTGCTAATCTGTTTTTTATAAAGCCTAGAAAGCAACAATCAGAAAATATTAAATTCAGAGGTTAATTAGGTCTCTCACATAAGCCAGGTTGTGCTGGAGTTGCCTAAAAATTTTGCATCCTTTCTAACTTCTGCACTTCGAGAAAGAGCAGGGCCTGTTCGCCATCCTGGTTCTAAGAGCAGATGGTCTGCCTGACCAAGAGCTCAGAGGTGACATTAGTTAAAGATCCATGACATAAGCTACAGCTTCTATGAGCGCCAGATTGACCTTTGTTAGAATGAATGAGTTTTACTGGACTTTGGTACAGCTACTGAGTTAGTTCAAGAGCACAGGTGCTTTTTGGTTAGAGGCATATTAGGTCATGAGCTTGCTAGAAGTCAATCTCTGTGAGTCTTTTTCCCACAAATAATGAGTGCTGGGGTTCATGCTGGTGACTGTTTCCTACTTTGATCTGGCATATGTCTGCCTGATCCAGCCCTTTCTGTGCCCAACACTCCTTGTGTCTTTAAGATGAGCTGAGTAAAAAATTCCAGCAGGAAAAAAACGACAACAATTTCCTATTCATTTAAATGACTGCCGTTATTGTTAAAGACTCAACTCTTTTTCAAAACTAGATTTCCAGTGCCCCAAAAGACAAAACATAGTGAGCGTAATAAACAGGATAGATGTGTCTAGTGCAGAGAGAATCATCAGAATTACTAATGAAGCTTCTTCATTAAGCTACCACTCCAGTCCAGAAAGGGAGTTCCCCTCTAGGGAAAGCCCCCAAATGTATCCTTTTAGCAATGTCTCCCTTTATTTGATCTCTGTTTTAGAGAACCAGAGTCCTTTACTTCAACAAAATAATTTCTAAAGGAAGTAGCAGAAAGGCTCGTTAATTGATAGTTTGGGAATTGTGCTGCATTGAATTATATAACCTGGAATGTCATATTATACCGATTTAGCACTCACATGCATTGCACAACAGTTTATAAACGAACTAAGCAACATTTCCACTGACACGCAGGAGGACTACAATATGTCTGTGGTGTAACATTTAGGACAATACCTTTATATATATGTTCTCAATGAGATAAAGGTCAGTTTCATGGTAGGTGCTGCTAAGAATAAGGAAGAGAGATTGTTCTCTTAACACCTGTCTAGTTAATGTGGAACTTGGTTGGAGAACCCATAAACACAAAATATTCAGGCATTGTTCCATAGTGAAAAGACGACAGCTTTCTACCATGGCAGACTCTGAGCTTGAGTTGAAGGGACATTGGATGGATATATGGCTGGAGTATTGAGGCTGGGAAGTCCTCTCTTACGTTGAATCGGGGAAGACTGCAAAGAAAAGGTCGGGGAGAGAACAAGATGGGGTGGATGTCAGATGTTGTTTTGGGGGAGAACAGAGGAAGAGGAGTCACTGAATAGGGATAGTGTGGAAGGAGGCTTGCCTCATGGTGAGTGGCAGAAGGGCTTGGGTTGTATGTACTAGAATGGCCTTGCATAGGAAGGGAGGAGCAAGGGAAGTGGATGATTTAATTGACGCTAAGAACCTCTCGCAGATTTTTAGAGGCCTTAGAATTAGTAGGCTTTTCTGAAAATTAGAAGAACTGGAGAGGGCGTGGAGGAAGGAAAGTAGTATACTTCTTTTTCCTGTTCTGTAAGTTTTGGGGCATCATGCATTAAATTATTAAAATAATCCCCAAAGCATAAAATTAGGGTATTTTGGGATTACCATGAGTATTTTACCCAAGGAAGAGCGATCCAAGCTCTACTAGTTTATAGGGTAGTACCTCAAAGACTGTAAGTTTATTTATTTTCTAAATTTTTGGAAGCATCTCTTTTCAGAAGAAAGACTTTAGAAAGAGCCATACTGACAGCCTTGAGGACTTGGTGATTTCGAACCTACAGGTCAAATGTCTCCGATGGGTCCAGAAAGGTTGCCTTTTCTAAAGAAGTCGGCTCGGTAAACAGGAGGACCCAATCACAGGTGCCATTGCTTGAATGAACTTGAGAGCAACCCCATACTTGGTCCCTAAATGACCCACTAGCAAAACTGAAAGACCTTTTTTTCTTCCTGCAAACACATACACACATAACACATAATTCAGATTGCTATATTTCTTGAAATGGCTTCCACTGGGGTTGACATGGGTCTGATTTGATCAAAACCTGGACCCAGCAAGTGAGACCTCCCTGGAGCTCAGGCTTTATGGTAACACAGACTGGGGTTCGTATCCCCCTTTCGCCGCCAGGTTGTGCAGTGCCCCAAAGGCAAGTCACCTATTCTTTCTGAACTCCAGTTTGCCCTGCTGTAAAAACAGAATCATAACACTTGTTCCATGTGGGTTTTGTGAACATGAAGTAATGTTTATGAAGTATCTAGCTGAGTTGCACATTCAATGAGCTAAAAAAATAAATTGCAGTTAAGATGTTTTCGTTTTAAATTCCTTGACTTGTGACCTCCTTTCTAAACTGGCATACTACAATCATCTAGATTCATTTTTACAGGTTTTGGGGAGTCAACATTGACACTGAAATCATAAATCAGGTTTAAAATTCTGTGTTCAACTTGGTAGAACATAAGGGTTTTATACACACATGCACAGAGATAGGTATAAGTTGTTTTCTCAATGATGTTTTTCAGTGATATTGGCAAATGTGATTATTACGCCTAGAAAACAATAACTGGGACCATAATCGTTTATATGATATATGTGAATGTAAAACTGAAACTAAAAGCAAATCCTTTCAAAAAGCAAATCTGCTTTGGATAGCATCAGTCATGGTCAAAAAGGCAGATCAACGCCCTGTCTACCAAGAAGAGCAATATTTCAGCTAGGAAACTCTATTTGAAGAGATTTTATGGATTTCTGATGTGTAAAATGATTTTGTATCATATTGTAGATGGAGTCATTTGTAGAGAGAATGAAAAATATATTACTTCTGACATGTTCTTTTTAATTGAAATGACATTTGTACACTCTGATATTTCTCTGTGCCAATGTGTTTTTCTTCTCACTGACCGCAGCCATCATCCAAGTCAAGGTCAAGGGCTGCATGCTGTCCCAAATGTTATGCTCTGCCGAGCCGTCCCCTGAGTTACAGTTGGGAAGTCTGCAAACCTCTGCCTCACTCACCATCAGAATATTTTCTGGAGGAACAACTCTAGGATTGAAATAAGCAAGAGCCAGTTCTGCTGGGGTCATAGTCCAGGGCCCACAGCTCAACCACGAGAGAACAGATACAAAGTGTCCTGGGCTCCTTCACATCTCTGTCATTCTGTCACTCAGGAGCCTGGTTAGGTGACTCAGGTTCTGAGCAGTACCCTGGGTTAACTCCTGCCAGCCCACTCAGTTTCTGAGCTGCAAAAGCCAACTCGAGAATGTCTCCAGCACGGCCTGATGCTTGTTGTACAGCCTGTGCAATAAGTAAACCAGGGATTCGTGTGTCAGGAAGACAGCAGGCTTTGACACCATGGTGCCATTTGGATTTGGCTCTACCACTATGATCTGTGTGATCTTAGGCAGGTCATCAAAGGTCAACAAGTCTCAGTTTCCTTCCAACATTTTGAATGACAGTACCCACATCCTTCAAAGGTCTGTCTAAATGGGATGGTGCATGGACAGAACTTACCTCCTTCTAAAAGCTTCCTTAATGTTAGCTACTATCAGTGTGGAGTTGTAATGAGGACCAAAGAGAAGTAACATGAAGCAATACAAAGCTTGTCCCACAGATGTTTCTTTCCTGAAGTCCTTTCTGTTTAGTTCAGATGGGCAGGCGATGTGCAATGAGGGAAAGGTGTGCATTCATCCAATAGAGGCATTTTCCAAAGCCCCGTGCTCATGGAGAGGGACAGTGGCACATGGAAGTCTTATGGAGAAGTGCCATGTGGGCTGGACTCCCCCAGACTTCATTGTGTAGCTCCTCCCTGCAATTTCACCGCACTCTTGACAGCCCAGAGTCAAGCAAATGGGAGATGGCGGAGCAGGTACCTTGAGCCCCTCTAGGATAAACTACCACATGACACTTAGGATCTTTACTTTTCATTATATCTGCAACACTCAGCACAGGACCCTGGAAAGTTTTTGTTGAATTATGGGATGCTAGACTGCAGAGTAGATACTCAGGTGATCTATGTAACCTATTCAGTGTTTCTCTAAAGTGTTTCAAATAACGTTACTCTTGGAAGGGGCTCCATTAAAACAACACCAATAAAATATATGGTCTTGATAAAGCTCCCTTTTGGAGAATGGTGATGCACGTTAACATATTAAAGCCCCTAGGCAGTTCTGCACAAAGAAACCAGTTTAACTGCATTCAGTCCAGCGTTTCTCAGTTTCATTTGGTCTAGGGACCCTTTTTCACTTCTTCCTAGGACACTTATTAACAGCTCATGCATATTAGAACCCATCAATCAATGGCATATTGATTGGTGTTAGTATATAATAATAAATCCTTGTGCATTTTTATGTAATTATTAGACTTCTGTGTAGGCATTTGCTTCCTGTTACAGTGCCATTGTCCTTACCTGTCTGCAAAACAAAATTCATTTAAATTTTTCTCCTGTAACTCTGTTGTTGATGTCAGTGGGGATCAAATGTTCGGCTGGACTTAATTTTTTATGAGCCCTGTTGATCTTTCTGCATGATGACCCCTCTGCCGCATGAAGCCCCAAGCCCAGTAATAAATGATGGGCTGAGACTCACTGGGCAGTCTCAGGGGGCCCTGATTGTTTTCACAACTGTCTCTATGATCCAATCAACTTTGTTCTGAAAAAATAGCTGGGATTCCCCCTACTCCTCACCACCTCCATCACCAGCTGGCTGTTCCAGTCCAAGCCATCATTGTGTCTTACATGGATCTTCACAGTAGCCATCTAAACAGACTGTTCCCAGCACAGCAGCCAGTGCGATCCTGCTAAAACCCAAGTCAGATCAAGTCAGTCCAATGCCTGGAAAATACCAGAATCCTCACAATAGCCTTCAAGGCTCTACATGACCAGGGCCCCTGCCACACTCCTCTTCTCTCACTGGCTATAGCAACCCCGGACATCTTGGTCTTCTGGAATGCTCCGGGCAGGGTCCTATCCCATGACCATTGCATTTCCTCTCCTTTCTACCTGGGACGCTTTCTCTCAGATATCCAAATGGCTCTCTTCCTCACTTATTTCCCACATCTGTCAAATGCCATCTTACCTTATGATCAAATCAGGGTAATTAGCATAGCTCTTACCTCAAACATTCATCATTTCTTTGTTGTGGGAGCACACAAAATCCTCTTCTCATGCTATTTTGAGATTACAATGCCTTATTGTTGACTGTAGTCACCTTACTGTCACATGTATGGAAACATCACATTGTACTCCATAAATATGTACAATTATTATATATCAGTTTTAAAAAAAGATAAAAATTTAAACACATGCTTCTTAAAAAAAAAATTCCATCTTATCAGAGAGGCTTACCTGGGTCACCCTATGTAAAATGCAAGAATCCCCCACTTCCTTGACAGTTATTCTCTCTCTCATTCCTTGCTTTTTAACCCCCTTGGCGCCATCAGTGCCTGCCCTGTGATGTATTTATATTGTTATTTACTGACTCACCTTCTCAAAGGAATGTTAGCTGTGCTAGGGCAAGGGCTCAGCTTTGCCAAGGGCAGCATCGCTGGCTCCTAGCGTGGTGCTTGGCCTGCAGTCACAGCCCAGGACCTGACCATTGAATGGGTGAGTAACGGCAGTGGCTAGCAGCCCTCTAGTGATGTGAACAGAGCGAGTTATACGCAAGAGGTTGTGAACATCAGGGAACCTCTCAATTTGCTGTGTTATTTGGAATGGCTCAGCCTGGCAGCTGTCCCCAGGGTCACAGACTGCTGCTTCTGAGTAAACTTGTCACAGCTGAAGGTGAGAGCCAGCGAATCACCAGCACATGAGCGGGGACTGAAGCCTCAGAGGAGAAGGAGGGTGGTGCAAAGACAGCCCAGAGAGGAAGAGACAGAAGGCGGAGCCCTGCAGAGCCTCGGGCAGCAATGCAAGCAACCCACTGTCACTGAGGTTGCCTTTATGTAATAATCAGTGCCGTTTATTGCATGAGTGCATCTTCTGCTGTCCTTGTTGCCTCTTACAAAGACCATTGTATTTTCATCTTCTCAGTTACAAGCCTTTGAGATTGGAGCAGCTTGCACGTGAGCAAACAGCTCGCCATTAGGAATCAGTCTGGATAAGAGCAGGAAAGGGCTCAGCTTTCTTGGGCTTTTCTTGCCGTGAAATGAGCAAATTGAAAGTGAAGGTTTTCAAGGTCCCTTCCCAGCCCACAGTTCTGGGAATTTAGTCACCTTGAAGCCAAGGGAGCATGTGTGTCACTCATTTCATGACTCAGAATAGCAGGCACTTCAGAAATACATAAAGCCAGACCCAGAGGTGGTGTTGGCCTTGTGGAAAGTGTCCCCTTCCCATCGCTGACCACATTGCTCTAGAAATTGTTTTCCTTGGAGTTGATGTAGACTGTGATGAAGAACCTTGTACAGGTACATGGTTTTCCCCTGTGAGAGCACTGGCTCACACCCGGAATCCCAGCACTTTGAGAGGCTGAGGTGGGCAGATCCCTTGAACCCATGAGTTCAAGGTCAGCCTGGGCAACATGATGAAATGCTGTCTCTAATTTAAAAAAAAAAAAAAAAAAAAAGGCTCAGACGAGGCTTAACTCTAGGCCCTGCTCGACTGAGGTAGAAACATCCTCAGAGCATCCCCAAGGAGCTAGAGAAAGAACAAATAAATCACCAGTGAATACAAAGATGAATAACTTCAGAGAAGTACTTCATGAAAAAGAAAATGGCATTTGTTGAATGTAAAAGAACAACTGCGGTAGCAGGTTATGGATCAAAGCTCTCACAGCCTGAAAATTAAAAGACCCTGCGTCACACGGTCCTCCAGGGAAAATAGCCAGTGGCCCCACAGTTCTGGCTACGAGGCTTCAGCTTCCAGAGAGAGGGAGACTGACATCTCCACTGGACTAGAAGAAAGGAAGCCTGTGTGCAGATGGGTGGCTTTGCATGTGGCAGACCTTGAAGCTAGGGGGAGAGAGCCATCTTTCTAGACTTGTCAAAGGGCAAGACCGGGCCCTTCTCAGCATAGAGGGAATGTGAACTTGGACTCTAATTACTCATCAGTTCTCTCGGCAGCATGGATTGATATTGGTATCTCATTTCGTGGATGAATAGAGAGGCTCATAGATGTTGAGGCTTGGTTTGAGTCACACAGGTGCTGCGGCCAAACGCCTCTGATGTTCCTGCAGTACGTGGCCTATTCTTTGGGCCAGGTGCTGTGTTGGCTGCCATGGTGATCTGACCTCAACCCTACCAGCCGTTTTGGATAGTGGTGACCCCTTTGTGGCAGAAGGTGACATGAGATTTGTTCCTGTGGTCTGATGTGCCCGAGGAGCACAGCACAGGGAGCCTTGAAACAAGGTGCCCCAGCCACCCGCCGAGTTAGGTTACACTTCTCAGCTGATGACTTAAAGTATTAAGAAGAGACAAACAGGCATTCTTCAGTGATACAGAAAATGTCACTCACAATCAAACATTCTTTCTTGTTTTTAAATCCAGCTGAGCTATAGACCTGTCATAAAATCATGGCATCTAAAAGGCCCTTTAGAGGTCCTGCTGGCAGGGGATGTTG
Organism: Homo sapiens; assembly: GCF_000001405.40. Lineage (NCBI taxonomy): Eukaryota > Metazoa > Chordata > Mammalia > Primates > Hominidae > Homo > Homo sapiens. Next base: position 92,013,756 of record NC_000015.10, read on the forward strand.
AGGAAGGATTTGGACTTTGAGTCAGACCTGTGGGGTTTAATTCCTGGACCTGCGCCATGCAGTTCAGTGACTGGACAAGATGCTGAACCTCTCTGAGCCTCAGTTTCTCACCTTGTGAGATTGCTCAAGAATATGCTGTCCTAATAGGTGACAGAGGTCAGGCAGGAATTAAGCAGGTTTTTCTATGTAAAAGGCTGAGCGTACAGTAGGTTTTCACCAAAAATAGGTGACCTCCCCTCGCGTGGTCACTCCCACCCCCATCTTTTCTGGACCAGGAGGGCACAATCTTACCCCCAGTGAGCAATGCTAAGGCCTCTTTATCTCCCCAGATCCAGGCTAAAGCTTAAACCTGAGCCCATTTTCCTTTGTCTCGGCTGGCACCTTGGCAGGGGAGAAATATATGGAGGAAAATCAGTACCTTTGTTTCCTCCCAAGGAAAAGAAAATGCAGAAGCCTGATGGGCGTCTCACCTAGATCACAGTTCACTGGGCCACGGGGGCAGTGGACCACCTGCGGCTCTTTTAAGTGCAACTCCGGTTCAAGCCAAATACCTGGGCACAGATGTGAAGCGTGGGTGGCAGAGAGGCAAAGAAAGAGCTGGAAAGAAAACTGGCACTCTTCGGAGGGCTGCAGGAGTGAGAATGCCCCGTGATTAGGGTTTCCTTCTAGGCCCGTATTTTCAATTACAGTCATAATTTATTGCTATTATGGGCACCAAACTATACTTGCCATGGGCTTTGCATACACAGGAAATGAGCCAGCATTTAAACACTACTCAGAAAAAGGGGCCTAATGGCTAAAAAGCAGTGGGAAAATGGAAACCTGCCCTCTCCTCCTTGTCACAAAACACCCACCTCTTCCTCCTCCACTTGTCCACTAAAACACTTGCCTTTAAAAATCAAATTAACAACATTTATTGCTTATACAACATTTATTGGGTGCCTAGTCTGCCAGGCTATATGGTGGAAGTGGTGAGGAAAATGGGGCACTTTGAGGATATTGTCCTTCTCTGTGGAGGGAGAAGGGTGGGAGGTTTTCAGGTCCCAAGCATTCTGGGAACTCAGCGTCATGGCTTGGCAAGGAGACAGAGTAGGCATTGAGGGAGGTGGAGGAGGAGGGTAAGGAGGATCAGGCCTGGATCTGATGTGGAGGGAACTGAGCTAGCTGTGAGTGTAAGTCCTTCCTAAGGGGAAAAGCTCCACTGTTTGGTTTGCAGTCCCCCAAAAGGCTGATGCATTCTTTCTTGGTTCCATGGCTAAGCTTAAGGCATGGCTTTCAGAAGCCTTGGACAGCAGAGAAATACTGGGAAGCAGGGGCACCACCATTTCTAGTTTCAGGTGGGAGAGCTCTTTGGAGTGATGTCCTACTGATGAGCAAGGTCCATCCTTGGGGGCTTGGGCAGGCAAGAGCTAGGCATAGGAGTGAGCAACTTGGTACATTTAATGCCAGGAGCTTTCCGTAGGTCCTGTTGGCGGGTGTATTCATCCATTTTCATACTGCTGTGAAGATACTACCTCAGACTGGGTAATTTATAAAGGAAAGAGGTTTAATTGACTCACAGTTCCACATGGCTGGGGAGGCTTCAGGAAACTTACAATCATGTCAGAAGGCGAAGAAGAAGCAAGTACCTTCTTCGCAAGGCAGCAGAAAGAGAGAAAAGCCCAGGGGGAACTGCCACTTCTAAACTATGAGATCTCGTGAGAACTCCCTCACTATCACGAGAACAGCATGGGGGAAACCGCCCCCATGATCCAATCACCTCCTACCCAGGTCTCTCCCTTGACACATGGGGATTACATTTCAAGATGAGATTTGGGTGAGGACACAGCCAAACCATATTGGGTTTAGGACAGCTTTCACTCCCAAGGGAGAGGCAGAACAGTAAGCAAGCAGGAAGATGGCCAGAACCTAGAGTTTACACATGGCAGTGAGCGTGGGGTGTGAACAGGCTGCTAAGGGTAACTGTTGTGGGCATTGCCCAAGCATTGCTGATGATAAGACTGGTCCAGTCCCTGCTTGCTGGTGGGGCCCAGGCTCTGACCCCATTTGCTCAATCAGGAAGGCCCGAGCTTATAGGAACATGGCTTCAGAAACAGGGGCCAAGAAGAACTGGTGAAGGCAGGAGCTGATAGCTGGAAAAGTAAGACATAAGAAAAATACGAAATGGAAATTTAAAATAAGGTACAAATGATTTGGCATGTGGTTGGTCACCAAATGAATTGCAGAGACACTCCTCAGAGGATTAAAGTAGTGGGCAGAAAGGATTTCAGGATAGGGCACTCCAAGGAGGAGATGAAATTTCTGCTAGACATTATAGGGTTTTATCAAACCCCAAGAAGAGAGTTAGACATTCTGGACAGGAAGATGATGTGCAAAAAGCCCAAAGATGTAAGGCTGGGAGATAGCAAACCAGGTCTTGATGTTGCAGATTTGTTGTATATATATTTATATAGATAGATAGATAGATAGATAGATAGATAGATAGATAGATAGATAGATTAGATAGATAGATAGATAGATAGATAGATGTTATAGATATATATATTATGTATTTGATATAAACTAATGCATATCAAACATTGTTTTTTTGGTAGAGATGAGATCTCACTGTGTTTCCTAGGTTGGTCTTGAACTCCTAGCCTCAAACAATCCCCCCAACTCAGCTGGGATTATAGACTTGAGCCACTGAGCCCAGCCTGAAGAAGGCTTTGAAGGCTAAAGGAAGGAATGTCGTCCTGATCCCTTGGGATCTAGGCAGTGGCAATCTCTATGGCCTTTGTAAGTTGACATGGAGGTAGGTAGTGTGCAGCACGGGACAAAGAGATGGGACGCAGAGAGACTAGTGTGAAAGACTATTGCATGGCTTAAAGAATGAATTAATAAGGGGCTGCATCAGGATACTGACTGTGAAATGGAGGAGAGAGAATGAATTCCAGAGAGTTATCAAAGCAAGGATGGATGGGACATGAGGAAGAAGACCACAAAGACAGGGGGAGTGAGTGACAGATGGTCACAGTCATAAAAGGAGGAGGAGGAGGGAAAGATTGGGGGAGGATGGAAGATGAACTTCGGGCCTGTGGATTTGAGGTGGCAATGAGAATCCAAATGCTTACATCTCAAAGTGAGTTATGTGGGATTAAGATAAAGACTAGGGCTTGATCGCACATTTGAAAATTTTCTCTGTAGTGTGGATCTCTCTAGAAGTCACAAGGGAGACCACTTCCTTCAAAGAGAGGAGAAGAAAAGGATACAGAGGATCAGCTACTCAACACCCACTTTTGATGGGCTGAAGAAGGAGAGTGAACAGATAAAGGAGGACTCCAAGGTTAAGAGGCACCATAAAAAGCGACTAGATACCATTTGCAAAGGAGAAAGAGCCCAAAGAAGACAACATCAAACATTAGCAGCTTCAGCTGCTGCAGGGAGATTAGGGAGAATGAGGGTTAAGATCTGGTTATTGGAACTGATCCCTCAAAGGTGCGGATGATCTTTAAGAATGTTGTTTCCATTGAGTTGGAGGAGCTGGGATTGGGGGGGGGTAGGGAAAGAGCAGGTGGCATTGAAAACATCTAAGTAGCAAAAGGAAGCAGGGATCCTTATATAAACTTAAAAAGCTGTAAGTGAAACCAAATTATGTTCCCTGACAGGGAAGGACCTAGTGTTGAACACATGGCAAAGAGAAGAAGCGGTGTGTGAAGCATGTTCTGGAAAAGGCGGGGAAGGGCTGGACACGATGGCGCTCCCCTTCTCAAATCCAGGGGTGGAAGAAAATGGGTGTAGAGGTGGATATTTAGGGGAACAGAGGACTGGAGCAGGGTTGCTGACACAAAATAGCCACTGCTTCTTAGGGATGTTCAATGAGAGGGTGATGGCTGTGGGTGGTAGGGGAGGGTGGGAGAAGGCCTGTGTGGACATTTGGGGAGGAGAAATTCTGGAATGATTCTTGTGGAGGATTGGCTCAGGAGTTCACAGGGATGAGCGAAAAGGGAAGGTGAAGCTACCAGGGGCACATGACACCTCCCAGGATGCTCAGACAGCCAGGGATCTTGTTTGGGTGGTGGGGGTTGCTCCAGCAGACCAGGGTGGAGGCTTGGAGACATAGGCAGAGGTGAGTGAGATAGGGGCCCATCACACTAGCACACTAGCCCACCACATACTCCTGGAAGGGCAGGAGGCTCAGAACAGTTGGAGGTTTGGAGAGGTCGGAGGGAAACTTCTTGATGAAGCAGGCAAGCTGCTGATGAGTGGAGGAGGATGGATGGGAGGTGCCAGCGATGAGATGACAGAGATGGAACGCAGAAGGTGATGATGTGGTTGAGGGCTGGGCTGTGGCTGATGCGTACCCGAGTACAAGGGACTGAGATGGATGGGCTGAAGAAGACAGATGTGAGGCCAGGCCTTGGGGCGGTGACGGGGCTGGCATAGCTGGAAGGGAACTGGGTGGGAGTCAGGGACTTAGGTTTTAACAAACCTGTTGCTAAGTCTTTGTTTGGCCTTGGCCAGGTCACTTGGGTTTCCCTGGTGAGGGGCTGCTGTCAGCACCATCCTTGCATTACTGTGCACAGTAGTCCTTGAGAGCCAGCAGGGGCCCTGGTGATGGTTCAGAGCAGTGACCTTGGGTGCTTCAGCCTCACGTGGTCACACCTCCACAGAACATGGTGCTCCCTCCCTCCTAACCAGTGTTACATCCACGACCCCACCAGCATCTCTCATGGCATCAGAAGTGGCAGCAGGCAGCCATCACCTTGTGATACTGCCACTTCTCTTCCGCAGGGATTGGAAGCTCTGCATTTCAGAGCCAGGTTTCATTCAGTCCCCTCACCAGCCTCCTGGCAGCCTGACCTCAGGTCTGGCAGATAAGGTGGGGCTGCTGTGGTAATCCAGGAGAAGTGAGGCAGGAGGGAGGACTGGCGTCCGTCGGGCCACCAGGAGTGGGGAGCCTGTCTCACCTGTGGGCTGCACCTGAGTGGGTGAGCATGGCATCAGAGGGGATCACGGGGTGGGTTGGAGTGCAGGGATGTCCCCCAGTGTGTTCCCCATTTCAGTCGCCCTCCCAGTCTGTGAATCTAAGAGCCTGGCCACTGAGGCATCCAGGTGCAAGCTGGGTGACCCTCAGTTACGATAATGTGACTGCAGCATCTGATGCCGCTACCATCACTCCCCTGGTGCTGGGCCTGGGACAAGGTGCCATATGGGGAATTTTTTTCCCCCCAGGAGGCTATTTTTAGAGTGCTCCAGCTGAACTGTTGCTGTGAACTCTATGTCTTAACTAGGAGTGTGTGCGTCATTAACGAGGCAGGTGTGTGCGTCCTGGGAGGGGCTGATGCGCGGTTCCTAATGGTAGCATGTGTGGGCTGGCCGGTTGCTGCTTTCAGCCTGCCAGGGTGACTTTGCTCATTGCCTCTCACTTGTGCAGGCAGAGGTTGTGTGTGAGATTTAGGGTGCCCTGGAGTCAAACTATCTGCCTGACTCTTGGCTCTACCACTTACCAGCTCTGTGACCCTGGGCAAGCTATGGATTATGTTTGATGTGTTTCTCAAAGCCTCAGCTTGCTCCTCTGTGACTTGGGGTAGTGAGAGCACTGATTTCATGAAAGTCATAGGGAAATCAAATCAGGTAAAGGCAAAGCATGTAGCTCTTCCATGCTAAGTGTTCAGTAAATATTACTTTCTTCCCCTTCACCCCCAGAGGCTTCCTCCTATTTATAAGCTTCGTTAATCACTGCCATGGCCAAGCCCTGCCCTAGGCCCAGGAGAGCTGGTGGTGTTTAAGGTACGACACACGCTGGAAGCACTCCTTGTACAGCAGGAAACTTGAACTGCATCTTGAGGGATGGTCAAGAGTTTGCTGGGTAGAAATCTAGGGTTGTGGGGAATGATTGTCCTATGACAGAACCCTCCTCTTGAAGCCTATCTACTTTCTAGATTTTAGCTGATCGCCCAGTTTCATGGGCAGGCAGGAAAGGGAGGCCTTTGTCCCTTTTCCCGAGGATGAACTCCAGCCGGTGTGTGTGTTAGATATGTACAGAGCCCAGCAGCCTTGCCACTTGTGGGGTGGCTCCTTTCTACTTGGGTGCCTTATTGTCTGTCGGGTGCCCCACAGCAGAGACCTCAGGGTTTTGGTGGCAACCTGCCCAGATACGGAAGAGGAGAAGGGAGTCAGAGTGGCCTTCATGTCAGGGCAGTGAGGACTGTATCAAAGCCCAAGGCTCGTGGAACCATGTGGGGGAAGCGACATGGATACAGAGCCCTGAGAGAGGGCGCTTCCAAAGAACTGCTGCCTGTTGACCATTCTCTTCCCCTGAATGTGATCCATTTACAAGGTGGGGACAGACTTTTTTCAGTTGTTATATATCTGGGATATGAGCCTCTCTCTGAGTACCTCAAGTTTTTTACCAGCCAAGTAGACTTGTAGCTTCAGTGTATATGCGATGTGTGCATGTGTATATATACACACACACACTATATATACACACACACACACTATATATATATGTAAAGTATATCTGTACTCTATCCATCCATCCATCCATCCATCTATATTTTCCCCCATAGCGCACATTTTTGTAAAGTCCCGAAGCCTCTAGTTTGAAGCAATGCTGAAATCTGTCAACTCAATGGATTAATAGTCTAATCTCAGCCAATTTGTTTGGCAGAAACACTAAATTCCTGAAACCATGTGGGCTGGCCCACTTGACCCCTGTCCTGGGAAAGTGAAAAAATACATCCCAGGTTTTTGGGCTAACTAGCATTGAAAATCAATCCATTTTTATTTTCATTTTCCTACAGTTTCATGGTGGCCACTCTTGACTCCCATTTGTATTCTGTGTGGGTCATGTTGATTAAGGAAGTGAGGAGGATGGATAGACAGTAAGAGGGATGGCACCGTGCATGCACCACCCAGCACTCCCCTACAGAGAGAAAGCTGGCTCTGAGGGTCAGGCCAGTGCCATGAGGCTAGCTGGCTTCTTTTGACATTAGTGCTCAGAAGAGACCTGTTTCCATAGCTTATCCATGTGGGCAGTGGTGGAGAATTTACCCAATCCAGAAGGTAGTATAGTGCATGGTACAGCATTTTCCAAAAACAGATATTCTTCCAAGCCGACTTAGAAATATTTTTAATCATTACATTGTTTCTGTGGTATTTGATAAAGAAGTGAATTTAGTAATAGTGTAAAATTCCTGGCTTCATTGTTGTGTGATCTCATGTAAGTTGCATCTTCTCTCCAAACCACAGTTCTTGCCTAATGAGGAGATGCTGATAATAATACCTACCTCTGAGGGTTGTAGTGAGGAGTAAGTAATATGTCACACGGGTTTTCCCAGACATGTCTAAGTACTCAACAAATGGCAGCCACTATCCCTATCATCACCTGTATGGTTGTGCTTGTTGTCATCATCGCATCCTCACATTTTTGGGTGGCCCAGACTTAGTATGCCCTTGATAGTGCAGCAGAAGGCCTGCTGAATCCCTGATGCAGATGTCACTTACTCTTTTAAGAAAGCATTCCCTAGCCAACCGTGCAGTTAGCCTCTCCCATTCTGTATACATTTCTCATGTACCTATCATACCATTTATCAAACCATCTTTTAACTGTATGTTTGCAGGCCTGCTGTGCCCCATGAGGGCAAGAGACTGTTTCAGAGAGAGACAAAATGAGTAAATAGCTGATGGGTGAATTCATAAACAAAATAATTTATTTTGCTTTCTGTCTTCTCTCACAGACATTTTGCAAGAAGGCAGACACAATGCATTTTGAGAAAACAACCACTCCTACAAGGCAAGAGGGTTTTCCTCCATCCGAGAACTTCCTACACTTAAAGCAAGTAGGCGAAGGTCATAGATTTCCGTAATAGTTTTATTGGAGACTTGGTCTTCATTTATCATTCATGAGAGGCTTACTTAGCTCTTATTACATGCTAAGCATTAAGGTCACAAAAATGAATAAGACACAGCCCTACCCTCAAGAAGCTTCCACTGTGGTGAGAGATGTTCACATACATAGTCGAGGTACTTTTATTGTTAACGATGACTCTGTGCAAAGCAAGCACCAGGGGCACCGAGAACCCAGGGCTAGGGACGCCCGAGGGAGGCTGTGGGAGGCAGAGGAGTGTCAGAGCCTCCTGTGCCGTTCCACCCAGCCTAATACAGTGGCAGCCCTGGTTTCAGAAAGCAAAGGCCAAAGCTGACTTGTGGTCAGATTGTCACACCTGCCTGGAGTGGCAGGAAGGCAAAGCCAATACATTTTATTGCTTTGGCTCTAGATTCAGCCAGAAGGTGTAGTGATGAGGCAGGAAATCCTGTCTGAAACCAGAGTTCCCATCTGTTGGCATAAAATCCTGATGAGCCTTTTAGGGGAGATAAAACATCAGTAATATTCAAGTGATACCAGGAAATTCCCGGCTTTAAAAGGACAAGATTTTAGCAGAGGAAGTTGGATATTTAGAGTTGCATTTTTTTCCAAAATTATTTTTAGCCTCCAGCTATATATAACTTTTCTTGCTGACTTAGGTACAGTATGTGGATTCGACTGATTGTATTTAGGAACAAAAACAGACATTTTAACACCTGTGCGTGTGAACATTCTACATAGGACCTGCTGAGTGATACCTTGTAAGGACCAAGGGTAATAGTCACCCATAAGGAGTCACCAATAGAACTATTAAGGAAATCTATGACCTTAGCCCACTTGCCTTAAAGTGTAGGAAGCTCTCAGATGGAGGAAGAAGCTCTTGCCTTGTAGGAGTGGTCATTTTCTCAAAATGCATTGTTTCTGCCTTATTACAAAACGCTCGTGAGAGAAGACAGAAAGCTAAATAAATTTGTTATTTTGTTTTCGAATTCACCCATCAGCTGTTTACTCATTTTGCCTCTCTGAAACAGGTCTCTTGCCCTCACAGGGTACAGCAAGTCTGCAAACATACAGCTGAAAGATGCTTTGGTAAATGGTATAATAGGTAGTTGAGAAAGGTTTACAGAATGGGAGAGACTAACTGCATGGTTGGTTAGGGAATGCTTTCTTAAAACAGTAGGTAACATCTGCACCAGGGCTTCAAGAGTTGACAGGAGGCTTCCCAGGAAGAAGAAGGGCAGAAAAGGCAGGGGCACTGGGAAGCCTGCAGTGCTACCTGCAGTCAGGGAGTCGTGGGATTCTGGGAAGCCTGCAGTGCTACCTGCAGTCAGGGAGTCGTGGGATTCTGGGTGTCAGAGTAGAGTGGCTTTGTAGCCAGAAGTCATCGAATCAACTGAGTGGATGGTTATGCCAGCAAAACCGTTCACTTTACAGGAGAGGAAGCACAGAGAAATTGAGGGGCTTGTCCAAGGTTACACAAGTCTAGGGAAGACTCACAGCCAGAACTTGGGTCTTAGCTTCTTCAAGTGTGGCAGAAGGGCTTGGCACTAAGTACGCTAAAGCCACCTCGAGGATTCCTTGATATTTCCCTGCAGCCTTACATGCAGCCTTACAAGGATAAACTTCAGCTTAAACTGAATCCACCTTTCTTTACAGAACATACAAGGAAAAGTCTAGTAGCTGTTTGCATCCTAAATGTCCACATTTGTGCCAAACAGCTAGCCTGGTCATATTTTCAAGACTATGGGATTGAAATTTATTGCATTTTTTAAATTATTCTTTTTCATTGTTTGGTACTCTATATGAGAAGAAAACTGGAGCTTTCAGAAAGTATTGCTATTAAAAGGTGAGGTTGAATTTTTTTTCTTTTTTTTTTTTAAGACAGTGTCACTCATTCTGTCACCAGGCTGGAGTGCAGTGGTGGGATCTCAGCTCACTGCAGCCTCTGCCTCCCGGGTTCAGGCGATTATCCTGCCTCAGCCTCCCAAGTAGCTGGGATTACAGGCATGCACCACCACACCCAGGAAATTTTTGTATTTTTAGTAGAGACGGGATTTCACTTTGTTGCCCAGGCTGATCTTGAACTCCTGGCCTCAAGTGATCCAGCCGCCTCGGCCTCCCAAAGTTCTGGGATTATAGGCATGAGCCACTGTGCCCAGCCAAGACTGATTTTTCATAAACAAACTTAACTTTAAAAGTTGAGACAGATCTTACCCTCCTACAGAAACTCATTCTGAAGAGCTGGATCCTTATCCCATTGATCCTTACCCTAGAGGGCTTTTGAGCTCCGTCTCAAGGGGCTAAGATACCTTTTTTTCCAGCTCATAGTGGTGGCAGAAGGTCAGGTTTCCTGAATATCCTGGTGTCATATCCAGAGCCAAGTCCAGTGAATCTGTTGGGCCATGTGGTCCCTGGTTCCTCTGTCTTTTGTGCTTCCAGAACACCCACCATGCCTGGGTGGCACTTAGCATTTAAATCGTCTTTTCCCTATTGTGGATTCACTAGGTTGCAAAACTGTGGACATAGCACAGACTTGTTCCCTAGTGAGTGAAAAACATGAATGAAAAAAGCAAAAGAAACTGATGCAATCCCCACTTCCATACATATCATGGGCAGAGTTCATCTCAGTGTTTTTTTTCTTTTAGTGGAGTCTGTGTGTTCATTTCTAGATACAGTTTGGTAAATAGAAGTGACTGGACAAACAGTAAAAAGGGAGAGGGCTTCCCTCACTTTCATTCCCACTCCCAGGCTTTAATCTTCAGAGGAAAATGAGCCTTGGGTCCAGTGGGAAGTGTATGGACATACTGTGCTGTCTAACTTGCTTTTATAGTGAGTTAGACAGTTTTGGAATTCATGATTAGTCTGTATTTAAGTGGAATTTATGCTACCATGTATTGACGTGTTTGTGTGACGTTCGTGTGTATGTATTCATCCACCCACTCATGTCTGCCTAACAAATGTTTGTTGTGCCTACTATGTGCCAGGTGCTCTCTCAGTCATGGGGATACAGCTTTCAAAAGGCAAAGTCAAAATCTTCATGCTGCTTACATCCTAGTATAAGAGAGACAAAAATTTAACATCTACACAAAGCAAAACAGGATTAGAGGCTAGAGAATTAGTGGGAATGAAGTGTAATGTTTTACAAAAGTAGGCCACGGAAAACCTCTCTGAGAAGGTGACATTTGAACAGACTTGAATGAAGTGAAGGAATGCCCCAGAAAATATTAGGAAACCTACAAATACAAAGGCCTTCCCATTCATCAACCCACCTACCCACCCATCCGTCTACCTACCCATCCATCCTCCCATCCATCCCTCCATCTGTCCTGCCACTCATCCCTCCATCTGTTCATCCATTCATCCATCCATCCAGCCAACCAGCCAGCCAGCCTTCCATCCATCTGTTCATCCATCCATCTGTCTATCCATCCATGCATCTATCCATCTATCCATCCTTCCATCCTCTTAATGGCATGTCCTCATGGTGTGGCATATTGAGAGAGAATGATTACTGTTCCTTAATAGCAGTTTAGTAGACGTTATTTTTCTTAGGTTGTCCTTTTTTTTTTTTTTTGCTTTTAAAAAATTTTTTTCTTGGGTTTTTTGTTTTGTGTTAGAAGAGTGGTATTTTCACTTGCAAGAGATTTTTAAATTCAAGAAGCCAAGAAGCACTTAAGGATACAGGCTCAAAGGTAAGCCAAGCCAATCCCTCCTAAATTTTAAGTTCTTATTTTAAGGCTGTGGATGATACTTCATAGGGTTCTTGAGAGAAATGTATGGGGGACACCATAGGCACAAAAGCTAATTGCAGCAACAGCGATGACACTAATGCTGCTGCTCTTGCTGCTGCTGCTGCTACCACTACTACTACTGCTGCTGCTGCTACTGTGGCTAGCAAACATATCAGTGGCATCCACTTGTTGTTTTGGAGAATGCTAGGCTCTGGGCCAGGCACTTTCCATTCTTGCTTTCTGATTTGTGACAACTCTACAAGGCAGGTATATCCTATTCCACATGTGAGCAAACTGAGGCTGGACATGAGGCTATGATCAATTCTTTTCCTTCCCCAACCATTCCCGTAGCTGTCTCTATGAGTTTAGTGTTAAACTGGGATGATCTGGGACTCTCTTCTCAGTCAGCAAAGGCAGAAGGAAGTGTTTTGAATTCTCCCGGCCGTGAGTGGCTGCCATCTACCTTGCTGATGCCGCGTGATGCATGGCAGTAAGAGTTAATGTTTCCCAAGGGTCCTTTAGCAGTGGAGATGCTGGAAGAGTGGTACACGGGTTTCTAAGTTACTTAACAGATTTTATGAACTGCTAATTACCTTGTAAAGACATTTTATTGAGCTAGAGTGATCTGCTGTTGGCACTGATTGTTTACATATCTCAGTCCTTTGGCCTGTTTCTTTTGCCCCAGGTCAGCGCATCCCTGAGAGCTCTGCTCTGTGTGCAGCAGGGAGGCTTTGGTGCAGTTCTTTACCCTGCACGTGTCCAAGCCCGTGTCCATGCCCTTGTCCACCACCAGTCACCAAGTGTAGGGATGGGTCTCTGTTTCTCCATCCGGTAACTCCTTAACTGTCGTTAGGAAAGGCAAGCAGAGGAACTGCAGTCTTGGGTGTGACCTCCCAATTTGACTACTAGATTTGGCAAGAAACAAGAGCCTTGGCTTTCCTATCTGCAAAGTGAAGGAAAGAATGGAGAAGGCAGGTGTGTGTTCCTTGTCTAATGGACTGTTCCTCCACAGCCTATAAGAAGTTTCTCACTAAGGAGACAGAAGTGACGAGAGCAGGTGGTGGTATGTTTAACAAATACCTGAGAGCAAGTAGAACTCATCAGCTTCTGTTTTATTTTTATTTTTCCTACTGAGTAGAATGCCTTAAAATGGAAAGTGTGGGACAAACAGGTTTACAAAGCAGCTAGAGTCCACAGTAATTAAAAAGAAAAAAAATAGTCTAGGGGTCCCTAAGGGTTCTATGATTTCTGCTTTCCGTTTTCTTCAGAGAATTTGATGTGAGTTCATAGGTCTGTAACCAGTTATTTATTTTAAAAAGCTATGCAGGACAAGGAAAGAGACATGTACAAAGGAGGTGGCCATGACCGTCATGGTTTTCATTACACTGGTAAAGATGGATTCTGAAAACAATGGACAATTCATGAGAGAGTGTAACAACATTCCCACCAAATGTCTAGCATAGATTATGGCCGGGCACAGTGGCTCACACCTGTAATCCCAGCATTTTCGGAGGCCAAGGCAGGTGGATCACTTGAGGTCAGGAGTTCAAGACCAGCCTGGCCAACATGGTGAAACCCCATCTCTACTAAAAATACAATAAACTAGCTTGGTGTGGTGGTGCACGCCTGTAATCCCAGCTACTTGGGAGGCTGAGACAGGAGAATCACTTGAACCCAGGAGGTGGAGGTTGCAGTGAGCCAAGATCGTGCCATTGCACTTCAGCCTGGGTGACAGAGTGAGACTTTGTCTCCAAAAAAAAAAAAAAAGGGGGGGTACATTATTAAACAGATGGTGAGCTTTGATAGAAGATCTCTGGGAGTTGTCATGAGCTCTCTAAAAAGAAGCAAAGCCAAATAATGCATTACATTTTTGATAGGGTCGGTATTGTGACAATAAATGCTAAATACGTGATTTCCTGGAGATGTAGAACAAACGTTCTTTTAATATCCTTGTGAACTTTCTAAACAACACCACATTGCTTTATTTGTTGAGAGATAAACTTTGTGTAAGACACAGGCTAATGCCTTTACATACGTTGTCCCACATAAATCTCAAATTCACCATTTGACGAAGGTACCGTCATCGTTTTTTTCGATATTGTGGATGAGCAAATAGGCTCAGAGATTTAGCAACTTGCCCAAGGTCACACAGCCAGCAGCAGCAAAGAGGAGTCTCATCCTGGTTTCTCTGTCGTCTTCACCCGTGCTTTGGCCACAGCACCGCAGTGCTCTCTAAGGACTTCTGTAAGCTGCACAGTTTGCTCCCGACGCATGCATTAAAGGATTGACATTGGTCTGGAAAGACCCCTGGTGTGGAGTGCCACAAGACTGTGCCTTTTGCTTTGTGCCGTTCAACATTTTTATCCATGTCCCTAACGAAAACACAAAGACACACTTACCACATAAACGAAGCAGTTTGCACAGGCTGGAGGAATAGATCATGAAAACAGGACCGCGTAAAATAATCTGTCACACCCGTGGACAGAAACCTCGACTGCCATTGCAAAGTGCACAAGTCTGCAGCTTGGTTTTTAGTTTATTTTAGTTTTCAGGTAAGGCACGAATGTGCAAGAGGAAGCTTAGGAGCAGAGTTTGAGACAAGGATGTGGGCAGTTAAGAGCCTGCACTGACTCCTCTGATCACAGCGTTCGGCTCAATCTGCACAAACCATGTTGAGAATCTTCCCTAGAATTTCTGCCGAGACTTAGCAGTGGGCACAAAACCCATCACTCTGCTTATGTGCTGCTGTTTATACTGGGTGCCTCTGAGCACCATGTGGGAAACAAAGACCAGAGTCTCTTGTGGAGGAAGAGAGGGCAGCACACAGTGGGGGAGGCTGGTCGGTCGTATGTCAGGTGATGATGGTACCAGAATGGCTGGGGGCCTCCTGGGAATTTCCACAAGTCCGTTGAAGTCCCCAGCCAGGGGATGGTTGAGTCCAAATCCGAGGCCTCCAGGTTCCCATTAGCATCCTCGGGAAGCCACAGCACCAAAATCTGCCCCCCACCCTGGCCTTTGCTGACCCCAGGAATAGCTCCGGCTCCTGCCCCTCAACATTTGCAGGATGTTCGCCACCATGCTTCACTCAGCAAAAGTATTTTTTCTACAGATGTTTATTGAACGCCGACAGCACTAGACAGCCAGTGTTCTAGGCCCTGGGGATACATTTTTAATGAAATACAGAGAGAAAAGATGAGGAGAGAAAAGACACAAATTCCAGCCCTCAGATCTGAGAGACAGTCTAACCCAGAGCCCAGCCAATCCAATCAGGATTTGGGACCTAATGCAATATTCAGACAGCCCAAATATAATCGTTTTAAGCTAGAATGATCAGGACTTGGGTTTAAAAAGCAAAGTAGATTTTGTTCCACAATAAAATCACTGCTTCTGATTTTTGTGGAGAAGATGCTGCAATTAGGGGTTTTTCCATTAGATCCGAAGCCAAGTGGAGAATGCCAGAAGTTTGGCATTCCCAAGAATTTTTGTAGGATCTGGAAATGAGAGTGTTTTGCTTTTTGCTGGCGTATCAGTTAGGAGATCTTGACGTTCTTGTTTCAGCTGCAGGCACAAGTGTGTGTGTGTGTGTGTGTGTGTGTGTGTGTGTGTACGTACATGAGAAAACCCCTGACCCATGGTCAAACAACCCCCAAAACTGCCAGTTGATTAGAAAAATGTCCTGTTTCCTTCAGGCCCCAGAGGACATACATTTAAGTAAATACTTTAATTAAATTACATCCTGTTGCCAAGTAATTTCTTAAAAGAGAGGCGGTAAATGGAATCTCTTCTGGGAAAGTTTGCTATAATTACTGGATGGCTTTCTTGGGGAGGAAAATGTTTATTTAAAAACTCCGCAGCCTCTTATACTTCTATGCCAGGTCTCTGACCCTGGGGGAAAAAAAGGAAACTTGTTCACTTCCTGAGGTTGCCAAATTTAGGATTTGTCCCTGGCGATGGGAACAGCTATCAGGGATTGTTTTGCCTTCCCAGCCAGGCTCCTGCCCTGGAGTGGGCATGAGCGGCAGGACCCCTTTGCTCTGGGGATTAAAGATGTTTGCACTGGACCCAACCAGAGACTATTCCCAGGCTTGGTAGGTGTCCATATATAAACTCTCCGTTCCGCATCTTTTACCTACTTAAACGTAGTCAGTGCCTGGGCAAAGACTCATGTGAACATTTGTTTTTGAAAAATGTTTGTTTTCTCATAAAGAAATACATATTCTCTGTAGAAAATTTGGAAACACAATAAAGGCTAAGCAGGAAAATAAGAATCATTTTCCTACAACCCAGGGAAAAAGTACATTTTTGACTGTTTTTTTTCCCCTCCTTGTATTTTTTTTTTCCCAAACACATATATGTAGTCGCGCTGACACTGTGTAAATGAATTATTTCATAAGATTTTGTCAAAAGGAAAGGTGAATGGCCTCTGGCCCCAGGATCTGGGCTCCCAGTGCAGCTGAGGCCTGCTCACTTGGCTTCATACATTTTTAATAGAACTCTTCCGTCTCACGTTATGAGAGATAAAAGATCTATGATTCAATCAGGCACCTTCTTGGCTCAGGTGAAGAGTCTGTGAACCAAAAGGCCACAGGTCAATTACCTCGGAGCTGCTAAGAATTGCAGCCTGCCGGCTCAGTCTGGCTTCAACCGTTGCATTATTACTCTAATAAAATGTCCTCGGCTACATTTTCGTAACAGTTGGTGATAGGAGTCCCAAAGGGGATTGGGCATTTATCTTGAACACGGGCTCTGCCCACGTTCCTACCATAGCATAGCAAAGTTTGGCTTAAAATTGAATGCGATCCTCCTGTTGATTCTTTCTGTGTGTTTTATCCCACAAAATGCCCCAAAGGGTTAGTTGGTTTTCAAAAGCTACGTGTTAGACACAGTTTGGTCTTTTTTTACCCTCCTTTCATGGCCTTGAGATTATGAATTGATGCTTTTCTTAGATGAATACCAAGAGAAAAGAACTTTACAAAATAACAAAATTTCATCCTGGGAATCCACAGTGGACTCTTCTTGCTTTGCGGGGAGCTTCTGGCAGAAGCTCTGCAGTGGGGAAGGATGGTGGTGGTGGGCTGGCACAGGCCTGTATGATTATATTTCGTGCTAGAGCCGCAGTCAGTAACACAGCCATTACTATGCCGTCTAAGACAGATTAAAAACCTGGTGTCTTTTCTGCTGATTGAACTCTGGAAACTTAACATGAACTTTGAAGAACTCTGCCCTAAATCCAGCTCACTGAAGGGATAAAATACTTGGGACACATTAAATCTAAAAGAATCTTCAGGTCATCTTTTCTTGGACCTCGGATTTACAGATGAGGAAAGTGAGGCTCTTTGAGGGTTGAGCAACATGCTCTAGGTCCCACCCCACCATGGCAGAGAGGAAAGTGGTGCCCACCTCTCCATAGCCTAAGCCATGCCTCACCTGTGCTTCCTGGTACCTCTTAGCGCTCGCATTCTAAGTACACCGGTGAGTACACTACTGAACTACGTGTTGAGATGGGTACCATGGAAACGAGAGATGCCCACCCTTGACTCAGCAGTTGGATTACTTTAAAAACAGATGCCAACCTATGGAGTTCCCATTTTGTTCTTAACTGGAATGAGTGTGCTGTAGAATTACATAAATGCACCTGTAGCTGCAGCATCTTGTCTGGGCTTGGGCTGTACCCTGTGAGGGAGGGAGGGAGGGAGGGAGGGAGGGAAGGGGAGGATGTTTCATCAATGTTGCCAATGTCTGCTATGCTTTTAAAGAAATGTTCTGCACGCATTTCTGGTATCCGCTAAGGCTTTATTTAGTGGTTCCAGAGACCCACAGGAAAGCCAGGGGTAAGGAAGAGAAAAGACAAAAGACATCAATAGAGCTATGAATGAGAAAAAAAATAAAGGAGTTGAACAGGAGGAGTTTTTTCAAAGAGATGACTCAGTAGAAAAACAATAGCAGTATAAAAAGACTTGGAAAAGCATGAAGAGAAAGAAAGAGTGTTAATAATGTTAACCTTTCGGAACTTATCCAGTGCACAGCAGGAATGGGAGCCTGTTTTGTTTGGTTGAAAACATCCACCTGACAGTAAAGACTTCCTAAAAGCCCAAATAAGAGGGCTGAGTTTGCAGCTCAATTGCTCCACTGATAACTCCTCATGCTCCTTGGGGCTGCAAAGGTTTTGGGAGCATCATTTCGTGGATCCCTGACCTTGACTGTCTTCCTCTTGGGAATTTCACTGTACACTCTGTAGAAGTGTGGTATGTCTGAGGTCAGCACCTAGGGATGCCTTCATCACCTTCACTCTTGGGAGGGGCATAGAGCTGGGCCAAGGACACAGTCTTTTGCGGGTACATAGTAGGTGAATATATTTATGGGGTACATGAGATATTTTGAAACAGGCATACAATGCATAATAATCACATCAGGGTCAACAGGGCATCCATCACCTCAAGCATTTATCCTTTCTCTGTATTATAAATGATTCAATTGCACTATTTTAGTTATTTTTAAATATACAGTAAATTACTGTTGTAGTTGCCTTGTTGAAGAGCACAGTCTTTTGAGCAAGACTGAGCGTTTCATCGTGGACCGTGCCACTCACTAGTTCTGTGATACTGGCCAAGTGGGTAGGAATTTTCGAGCCTCAGTAGGTATCTGTAAATGGATGTCAGTTCTGTCCACTCTCAGGATTGGCATGGGGACTGAGGCCCAGGTCGTCCATGCATGGTTGTCGTTGTTGGTAGTGATATTCAGTCTACCCTCATTCTTGGACCACTGTGTGTCTTTCACTTAGTGTCGGGTCTCTGCTATAGCAATGTTTGGCCAAGACTGGGGGCCAGAATGAGTTCTCTAAGAAAAGGCTGGCATTAAATATTGTCCAGTATTTTCTCAAGCCCAGAGGGTCACACCATGTGCAGGCGTGTGGCAGGGGGAGAATGAGGGAGCAGTGGGGCCAGGTGTGAGGAGAACTGAACTCTCCCTGGGAGCATCTAGGGATGCCTCCTTGAGGATGCAGAACCACAGAGGTCCTCAAGGAAAATGAGGACTTCAACACAGCATTCTAGGTGGAGCGAATGGCTGCAGGGAAGTCTGAGAGGCTAAGTGTATAGGGTAATTCCCAGTCTAGGGCTGTGTTATGTTTTCATTACCATAGAGTCAGTGCAGGGGTGGTGAGGGTGTGTATGGTCGGTGCTGAAGCTGGAAGGGAGGGATTTTGGATAAGGCTATGAATTTTCAGATTTTACTGTGCATGTAATGGACAAACTGGGTGAAAGCTTTGGGTAGTGGAGGTGCTCTCTGGGTTTTGGCAGAAAGCCCTGGGTGCGGTGATTGGGTAGGTTGGAGTGGGCAGCATCTTGCAGGTGCAGAGGCCCCCATCGAAGGCGGTTGCGATGCTCCTGGCAAAATTTGGGGAAAGCAGGCCAAGTTGGAGATGTGGTGAGGAGACAGCTTTGAGGAGCATCATGGAAGCAGTACTAAAAAGATTTGGAGCATGGTTGGATTGCCCTTATAAGGGACAGAGAAGAGATAACAATTACTCTGAAATTTCAAGTCCATACAGCTGGCAGCTGTGATAGGAAGTCAAGATAGAAAAAGTGGGGCGGGGCGGGCGGGGTGAGAGAAAACAAGTCACATTTGGACACCTTGATTTTGAGGCATCAGGGGAAGTCCATGTCAGTGGATTTAGCTGGTAGTGTGGGATGTGGGTTTAGCACTTAGAGCATGGATCAGAGCAAGGTATGTACAGGAAACTTTGTGATGCTATCTTATTTATATAGAATTTTAGAATTTACCAAAGAATCTCACGTGTAAAAAAAACAAAAGAACTCCATGGATGGGGCATTGTTTTTCCATTCTGGGATGAGGAAACTGAGGCCATGCCTACGTAAATGTATTGATTAGAAAAGAGTCAAGTTGAAGGAGATTTCTGAGCATATTGTTCCAGCACCTGCAAGTGTGGAAATGGACACGGATGTCCTCTTAGTATTTCTGCCCTTTGGAGAGACTTCTGCAACCCTCCTCTCCTCCAAGAGCAGGGTAACTTCCTCCTCTTGCATTCTCCCTCCAACTCTCTTCCCCTTAGTGGAGAAGTAACGATGTTCACGCTTGGGCAGCTGGATGGACACGTCGTGGAGTGAAAACCTAAAGGGAACTAAATGCCGAGACGGTGGGCAAAGGAGAACGAGGGAGGAGCAGAGGGTGACTTCCAGCTGGGACTGGCATGTGTTCGTTCAGCCCGAGCTTCCACAGCACACCACATGCTAGCTTAAGAGCTGTGCATACAGCAGCAAACAAAATAGAGAAAAATCCCTTCCCACTCAGATCACATATTCCAGTGAGGGAGAGAGACAGTAAACAATATAACTAAGAAGAGTAGGTGGTGGCTCGCTGGTGGCAAAAAAGACGGGGATAGGAGTGTTGGGAGTCGTACAGTTTTAGTGTCAGAGGGGCAGGTCTCACTGAGGTTTTGGCATGTGTGTAAAGACATCAAGGGAGTGAGGGACAAGCCGGGAGGTTATCTGGAGGAAAAACATTCCAGACAGACCAGTGAGGGCTGAGGCTTATTAGGGCTGGAGCAGGCTGGCGTTGATGAGCTGGGAGCAGGCGCATGGGTGGGACCCAGTGAGGGAGGGGGAGGAGCAGAATGAATGGGGGCGCCATGGCAGATCACGTGGAGTCCTGGTGACCATTGGGCTGATCTTGGCTTTTATGCAGAAGGACCTGGGAAGCCATTGCAGGGTGCTGAGCAGAGAAGCGACATGGTCTGACAACTCCTGGGTGCTCTGTGGAGAGTGGACTGTGGAGGAGTGAGGAGGAAAGTGGGGGCTGTATGCAGGGATCCAGGAGAGGGATCCTGGAGACTTGGGGCCGGGGATAGCACAGATGCCTCCTAAAGGAAGCACTGACAGAATGTTCAGATGGATTCGATGTAGAGAAGGGGAAGAGGCCAGAAGTCCAGCATGACCTGAGTAACTGGCTAGGTGAGGCTGCCAATGGATGGGGATGGCTCAGAGAGAGCAGGCTGGGGTGGGGTGTTTGGATGCGCTATGCTGGAGATACTGCTGGAACATCCAAGTGGAGACGATGAGTGTGCCTGGAAGTCGGGGGAATGTGAGTTTATGAGTCATCGGGGTAGAGATGGTACTTAACACTGCGAGGCTGGGCGAGATGGTTTGGGGCATGGATGTAAGAAAAAGGGAGCCTGCAGCAACTCCCTTGCTGAGCAATCAGAAGAGGAAGACCTGGCCCAGAGACCAGGGGAAGCATCCAGGGTGGGCAGGACCAGGTGGAAGCCCTGCAGCCACAGGAAGAAAGTATTTCCAGGAGGAAGCAGGACCAACTGGGTTCCCAAAGTAGAGGATGGATCAGGTCAGGTGACAGCGACCATTGGATTCACCCACTTTCACGCCTGGGAAGGCCTCGTTCCCATGTCCCCTCCAGTGGTGGCATGTGGCTATGGGAACTGTCATTGAGACGTTGGCTGGCCCTTTGGCCAGTGAAAATAACGCTTCCATGTATCAATTCTGTCCCTGCGTTAGTACTGATAGCTCTAACTGTCATTCGCTGATTTCCTGTTTAATCTGTCAAGTGATCTACGTCTACCCCCTCATTTCATTCTCACCATGGCACTGTAAGGTTACCACATTTTGCATCTGAGGGAACTGAGGTTTGGAAAGATTCAATGGCTTGTCCAAGGTCATAGTTAAAGAGGCAGGGCAGGATGGAGAATCCAGGACAATGAAGCTCCCAGGTACATGGGTTTTTGAACTGTGGGTAGTTACTCCAGTGGCCCGGAAAACTCCAGGGCTCTTTCTCCCATACCGGCCATGTACAGGGTCAGCCTTCTATTTTTCCAGGTGGCCTCATGAGTTCTCTGGAGACCCTTAGATGAATTTGTAGAACAGGTTGGTAATGACCCCAAATCAAAATTGCTCTGTGCTGTATATGTTATGTCAATAGCAGCGCAAAAGTGAACTTTGCCAATGGGAAACATCATGATTTTGCTTTTTCCTTCGTCCAAACTGTGTTTGCTGAAAATCCCTGTCGTATGGCCCAAAGGGATACAGAAACCCAGATCTGTTTAAATATAGAATATATAAACTCATGGAAATATGCACATATAGGATTATTAATTCTAAGAAGACTCTTGGGCAGATAGAGTGATCTAAGAGGACCAGGAACCAGGCTGTGGGCTGCCTGGTTTTGCTTCCTGTTGCCCCCTTGCTGACAACATGAGGCTAGCTCCTGCCAGCCCTAGGGAGCTCACCACAGGACAGTTTAGAGAGGGAGGACAAAGCTCACATAATTGCAACCGTGAAGTGGCTTTTAACACCCGTGGAGCCCCAGACCTTTAGGACCTGTCCTTTGCAGAGGCTCTTCCCTGAGAAGTCCCTGAGAGTGTGAATGTCCGCCAGTCTCCATCCAGTGTTACTTCCCAGCCCAGAAAAGGCATTGCTTCCTCTCCTGGGGTGGGGATGCAGCCCAGTGCTGTTTGCAGAGCCTGTGGCTTATAAAGCCTGGTGGTAGGGAAAAGACAGAAGTTTTGGGTGGTACCACAATTTGGGTCCCTGGAGGCTGGTCCCATCCTGAGCTCACTGGCAAGGAAGGGGTCTCATGCACTGCCTAGTGTAGACTCTAGTGTCAGCCAGATGTGCCCACGACCTGTTTCTGCCAAAACACTGTCTCTTCCAGTATAACTGGGGCGTGGCCACTGCCCAGGGCTTGGACCAGCACCACCAAGCCACTCTCCAACTGCAGAACATCCCAAGGCCATGTTGAAATTAGAGGAAGATGCCCCATCTGTTTTCTAGATTTCTCCTGCATGTCTGACAATCCTTCTAGCCAGCTGGATTTCATGAAACCCAAAGTGGATCTTGCCTGGAGCACATTCTTTTCTGATTTTTAAAGCCAATCTGAGAATTTGTTCTGGAAAATGTAATATGTGTGCTGCTTTTGCCAGCCTATTATTGAAGAAGGGCTGGCAAAATACCAAATTATTGAATTTGGTATCTGAAAAACCTTCTGAGGTTTTCTTTTTTTTTTTTTTTTTTCTATCTGTGTTTGAGTTTTTCTTTTTCTCTCACTGAAAATTCCACTTCGCCAAGAATTAAGGGACTCTAGCTCCTGGGAGCTGCCTTTAGGTTTAAACACTGACAGCTCTGCATTCTCCCCACCCTGGGCAGCGGCATTGCTTAACCCAACCTCTTTACACACCTTGATAGGGAGCTGTTTGCCTCCTTCAAAGCCACAGTATTTTTTTTATCAAAAAAATTGTTTCCATTATCACTCTTTGGTCCTGAGTTCTAGCTTTGCTGCTATCCAATTAAATTTGCCTTCCTGGGCTGCAGATTCATCCATTTCAAAAGGACCAAGTCAGGTGGTCTCTGAGACTTCTTCCAGCCCTGAAGTCTTGTGACTTTGTAGGTTCTTAATTTCTTACCTTATACTGTGCTGGGAAGCACCCAAATCTCGTGGTAATTACATTTTTCCTTCAACAGACCATTAGAATGTGACCTCTGTGAAGACAACAGAAATGGAGGAGGCGATCCATGGGCATCTTCTGAAGCTGTTTTGGTTAACTTTGATTTGGAAGTCCTGGTTCCAGGTTCTCCTGTTTCCTGGGACCAGCTCCAGAAGTTCATTATTTTCATAAATAATAAATGAATGCATACTAGGGACTGGACACTGTTTTGAGTGCTGAGTATACAGAAGCGAATAAAACCAAATACCCTGTCCTCACAAGAGCAATATGCAATACGGTAGCATCATGCCGTGGGATGGTCAGTTGTATTCTATAAGCCCCCTAACAGGTTTGATTCTCCATAGTTAGTTTCTCTTGCTTACAACCATCATCTTTAAGATCCACAATCATTTTCACCTACATAGTATTTGGTAACAATGTTCATGCCAAATGATATGTTTTACTGCCAGACAAGACTGCCTTTTCTTCCTGGCTTGTCCTGGAGGATTCATGCATTCTTCATTAAACCCTCCAAACAGCTCTCTCTGTATAGATAGGAACCTGATGCTCAGAGACTGATGCGTGGTGATATTTCAAAGAAATGGTCAAGCTAGGTTTCCAACCCAGATCCCCGACTCTAAATCTAGGCTTCTTTTAATGAAAAGCCCAGTGCAAAATGAAGTCATGTGTCCATATAACAGGGAGTCAGCTTCTAGAATGCTAAACCTAGAACTTATTTCATGGGTCCTAATTATCAGCCTTAACCTCCACCCCCAGCATGAGTTAAATTCCTGACAGATTTCTAAAATGGTCTTTGCATTTCTATAACACCAGGTTTGCATTACTAAAAAGCATGCTTTCACTTTATCGTCATTCATTCTTATTCTCACTGTCAAGCCAACTGTGTAATCCCCTGGAAGACATAGCCCAAGACTTGATGTTATCTACAGATTACATTGCCTTGCTCCAGCAGTTCATTCAGGAACTAGAATATTAGCAGGCTTCCTTCCCTTCAGCTGGTTTTTAATTTTTTACCCCCAGCTTACCATAGCAGCTTAGTGGTGAGCATTCTGGCAAGGTTGTGACTTTAACACCATCACCTGGGTCTGTGGTTTATGACAAGGTGATCTGTCCTTATCCATGGCTGTTGGATCACTAGAGTCCCAGGTAATGAGAAGAGCAGTTAATCTCACATGTATAGTAGTGAGACCTAAATGCCTCCTGTGCTCCTTACTAAAATGATTTGAAGGTGACCAAGAACCTCCCATGAAGGTCACAGAAGAGCAGAGTGTACTGGAGCTGAAAGACATGTGTTCAGGTGTTTGTTTCTCTAAGGAAGCAGTAGAGAATGTGAATAGATGTGCTACCTCATCTCTCTGATCATGTGTCCTCATGTTTAAAATGGAGATAATGATCCCAGTCTGAACAACCTTGCTGGTTGGCCAGGAGAAAATATATGAGCTAATAATGTGTGTAAAGGCACTAGGTAAGTTACAAAATTCTGTACCAGTGTGAGATCATTATTTGCCTTCTATAAACATAAAAAGTGATTTTCAAAAAGGGAAATGCATGGGAATGTAGAAGTAGCTGGCTATTTTAAAGGACACATGCAAAAGTCTCAGGATACAAAATCAATGTGCAAAAATCACAAGCAATCCTATACGCCAACAATAGACAAGCAGAGAGCCAAATCATGAATGAACTCCCATTCATAATTGCTACAAAGAGAATAAAATACCTAGGGATACAGCTAACAAGGGATGTGAAGGACCTCTTCAAGGGGAGCTACAAACCACTGCCCAAGAAAATAAGAGAGGACACAAACAAATGGCAAAACATTCCATCCTCCTGGATAGGAAGAATCAATATTGTGAAAATGGCCATACTGCCCAAAGTAATTTATAGATGCAATGCTATTCCCATCAAACTACCATGGATATTCTTCATAGAATTCGAAAAAAACTACTTCAAATTTTATATGGAACCAAAAAAGAAACCATATAGCCAAGACCATCCTAAGCAAAAAGAACAAAGCTGGATAAATCATACTACCAGTCTTCAAACTATACTACAAGGCTACGGTAACCAAAACAGCATGGTACTGGTACCAAAAAAGACATATAGACCAATGGAACAGAACAGAGACCTCAGAAATAACACCACACATCTACAACCATCTGATCTTCAAGAAACGGGACAAAAGCAATGGGGAAAGGATTCCTTATTTAATAAATGTTGCTGGGAATACTGGCTAGCCATATTTAGAAAACTGAAACTGGACCCCGTCCTCCTCAAGATGGATTAAAGACTTAAATGTAAAACCCAAAACCGGAAAAACCCTAGAAGAAAACCTAGGCAATACAATTAAGGACATAGGCATGGGCAAAGACTTCATGACAAAAATGCCAAAAGCAATTACAACAAAACCCAAAATTGACAAATGGGATCTAATTAAACTAAAGAGCTTCTGCATAGCAAAAGAAACTATCACAGTAAACAGGGAGACTATAGAATGGAAGAAAAATTTTGCAATCTACCCGTCTGACAAAGATCTGATATCCAGAATCTACAAGGAACTTAAATTTACAAGAAAAAAAGAACCCATCAAAAAGTGGGCAAAGGATATGAACAGACACTTCTCAAAAGAAGACATTTATGTGACTATCAAACATAGGAAGAAAAGCTCCATATCACTGATCATTAGAGAAACGCAAAACAAAACGACAATGAGATAGTGTTTTGTGCCAGTCAGAGTGGTGATTATTAAAAAGTCCAGAAACAGATGCTGGTGAGGCTGTGGAGAAATAGTAACACTTTTACACTGTTGGTGGGAATGTAAATTAGTTCAACCACATGGAAGACAGTGTGGCGATTCCTCAAGGTTCTAGAACCAGAAATACCACATGACCCAGCAATCCCATTACTGGGTATAAACCCAAAGGAATGTAAATCATTCTACTAAGAAGACACACGCACATGTATGTTTATTACAGCACTGTTTACAATAGCAAAGACATGGAACCAACCCAAATGCCCATCATGATAGACTGGATAAAGAAAATGTGGTACATATACACAGTGGAATACCATACAGCCATAAAAAGGAATGAGATCATGTCCTTTGCAAGGACATGGATGAAGCTGGAAGCCATCATCCTCAGCAACATAACACAGGAACAGGAAACTAAACACCGCATGATCTCACTCATAAGTGGGAGCTGAGCAGTGAGAACACATGCACAAACACCAGGGCCAGTTGGAGGCTTGGGGGCAAGGGGAGGGAGAGCATTAGGACAAATAGTTAATGCATGTGGGGCTTAAAACCTAGATGATGGGTTGATAGGTGAAGCAAACCACCACGGCACATGTATACCTATGTAACAAACCTACACGTTCTGCACTTGTATCCCAGAACTCAAAGTAAAAAATTAAAAAAATAAAGGGCGCATGCAATTTGGCACCCAGCTTCATTAATACTAATTTTGCATCTGTCACCTTAATCTTTTCAAGAAAGCCAAATATTAGAAAAATTTGGAATGTCTATTCAAAGGCATGGAAACAGATCAGTTCTTTGAATGTTTCAGGTTCCATTCAGATTTTGGTTTTCATGCTAGGCCAGTGAATTTTGGAGATACTGATTTCTAATGAGCATTTGAATCTGCTGTGCCCAGAGATATCCCAGTGTGAAATGAGAGCAATCATGTTATCTTCCCCAAGTTCCAGGCCCAGGAAATGGGTAGTGGCCAAAGGCAGATGATGCAACTATAAATCCATCCACATTCCAAGAGCAGTGTCCTACCATGACACTGGTACCTTCCTCTCCTAAGAACCTGCTTGGTGCTCTGCCTGTGCAATTTTGAGGAGCACGTGGTGTATACCTGGACAATACTACCAGCCTCTCCCACTGCCTGTGACATATTAGGCCATCTAGGGATATTAGGGTGGGTCAGGTGAGGTGGTTCTGAAGGAGAACAGATTGGTCCTCAGCCTTCTTTAATTACTGTCCTTTGACTATGGGTCTCAAACATCAAAAGTGTCTGTGGAGCTGTTTAAAATGACCATTTCCAGATGCAACGTGTAGAAATTCAAGTTGACTTAGTCTGGGATCTGGGCCTGGGAATCAGCATTTTGATGATACTAAGATTGATTCGGTTTGAGCAATCCTAGTCCTCTGGGCATGTGTCCTCACTCCTCCCGACATTCTGTGTGGCCTGGACCCATCTGACCTCAGACTTTCTGCCTCCTTCATGATGCCCATCTCATGGGGTTGTTTTGAGCATTAAATTGAATGTGATGCTCTTGTAGAAAGTGTCTAGTCTACAGGAAGCCTCCTGTAGACTAATATGCCTAGCCCCCTTCCCTTGTAACAACCCTGGACAGGAAGTAGAACTGGCTTTATTTCAGCTTTCCTAAGATGAATGACAGTGCTTTGTTCCTCCTAACCCTTTTGTGCATGTATAGTACAGGTATGTTTCCATCAATCAACAGGTATTTATCCAGGGCACACATCTTGCAGAACAGGCATTGCAGAGGCAGGGAGGGAGACACAGAAGATTCATATTTCCCAGCACAATAGACTAGAAGCCCTTTTTTGGGAGGTGAGACTTCAGCACATGAATCACATGGTTGCCAAATGGACAGAACTTCTAAGAAATCAGCTAATATACAGCAGAAGACTAAGTTATGCAGTTTTTTTGTATGCTGTGAATTCAGGGAACAGGGAAAGCAATGGTAGACTATGCCAGCCAATGGAGTCTCGAATGAACTATGTGGTCTCTTCAACCCGTACATTTTAAATGCAGATGGAGATGTCAGGTTTCACTGAATATATGTGCATATGTGTGTAATTCAAATCATAGTTGCAGAATCTGAGGGATCTTCCACTTATTTAGAGCCTGCCCTATTCTTCCCATCCTTCCTGCGTGTCACCTGACATTTAGAAATCAGAACTGTAGAGGTCCAAGGAGACGAAATACCATCTTAGGTACAGAAAGGAATTCAGAATTAGAAGCACATAAACACAGAGGATAAGTGTAATGACATTTAAATATTTAATTTTAATATTTTAGCCAATCTGTATGCTGTAGATTTCTAGCTAAATGATGTTTATCACATTCTAATCATGTAATTGGAGGGTTGGCAGGAAGTATGGTGGGGGTGGGGTGTTATTTAATTTAATGGCCATGAGGCTCAGCTTCAAACCAAATAATGAGCAGAATGCACCTTCCAAAGAGTGGGTGGAAGCAGGCAAGAGGTCCAAGAGGTCTCAGATGAGCCCCATGTGACTCTGGGGTTCTTTAATGGCGCTCTCTGCATTCTTGCCCTGTCCTCTCTCAGCCAGATGGTTTCAGTAGTTGATGCTGTTTTCCATCTACAGCAAGCTATTCTCATCTTTCCTTGAGTAAACACTTTTACTCTTTCTTTTTACTGCTACCATTTAACATTCACACAGTGTCAGAAGTGTGCCAGGCAGAGGCTGTGCAAACCTACTCAGATCATCTTGCCTAGCGAACTTAAAATTAATTTTAAAAGGGAAAAGAGGTTGACTGTTGCAGACAAAAGTGGAGGATGACTTAAGGGATCAGCTATGACTGTTTTATTATGCCGTCTAGAAAATGATTTTGAGGGGATCCACACGGTTGGGCCAATTGATGTAGGAACGAGGCTGTATGTCTGCTTAGCTTATTCATCTACCTGCTGAACACTTAAGAGCATTGTGACAGGCCCTACACCGGGCACTGGGAAATGGCAGAGTCACCTCCTGCTTCAGAGGAGCACACAGAAAAATCCAGCATTGCCCACGTCCTACAAAGCACAGAGAAATGGGCCATTGACTGTAACATGGAGGTGGAGGTCTGAGAAGGTGCAACTTTAATGTGCCTCAAAGAGTGGGTAGGTGTTCACCAGATAGCTGAGGGAGGAGGGCAGCCTTTCCATGCAAAGAAGATAGTGTGTGCTAAGATGTGAAAATATAGGAGAGTGAAAGCACAAGGCACACTGAGAAATCAGCAAGCACAGGACAGGCCTAGGAGAAGTAAAAAGTTGATGTCGTGTTTTGGGAACAGTTTCCACCCCTAGGGTGTCAGGTGATCTTTTAGGCCATAGGAAGTCATCAGCAGGTGTTAAGGTGTGTATTTTAGAAGGATGACTCAAGTGGCCATGGAATCATTAGAAGATAAGAGAGAGATTCTAGAATCAAGATGACAAGGATGGGCTCTTCTGGGTTAATTGTGACTTTTTTGGTGACCTACCTTTGTGCAGTTGTCACAGACATGGCTGTTTGATCTGCCAAGAGTCATTTGGCCCAGTTGTTTGAGCTGTGATGTTAGTAGTTGGCCAACTACTAACTGTGTTTGCTTTCCATGCTTGCCAGTTGACCTTACTCCTTGACCAGAACCAGCCTCCTAGCCATGGTTAAGCTTCAAGGGTGGGTGGGTGGGAGGAAGTGTTTGGACCTGTTTTACCCATAAAACTAAGGTAGAGTACAGATTTCATGGACGGCATTGCCCATGGGATTATAGACACTCTGTCTCTTTAATTGCAGGCCATGAAAACAAACAGGGGCCAAACATCCAATGAGAATTAAACATCACACAGTGCAGGTGCTCTTGCTCTGCCTGTATAACCAGCGATAGCAGGCCCCAGATGTCAGGACTGCCAGCCTCTCACTGGCCCAGGCAGGCTGTGAACGTCAGTTCCACTGTGTGAGAAGCATCCTTGAGTCATCCAGTCCAGCCCAACCCCAGAGCCTAAACATGCTTTGATACCTTTTTGTTCAGGACTGCCCAAGTTTGAATGGCAGCTTTTCAATAGGCTCCATGCATAGACAAGTTTTATTTCATTTGTATTCCTTTCTTAGCTGAAGTTCCCACCAGGTTCCTGGTTCACATTTTTCAACCCACTGCATCTCATCCATTTTCTTTATTTCCACATAATGACAACCACTTTCATAGATTGCATGTCAACAGTCTTGGGTGTTTTACATGAGTTAATTCATTCAGTTCTTACTCAGAACCCCAAGAGGTCGAAATTATAACCCTCCTTGTAGAGATCGGTCCAGGGGAACTCAGGGAAGCTGAAGCACCTGTTCCTGCCTCCCTCCTCCTGTTTCTCCCTGGTCGGTTTTTCCATCCCCCCTGGGAGCCTGCTTCCTTTCTGCTTTCCAACATATTCTGCATGCTTCTGTTGCTTCTGCTTCCCCTGTCTGAAAAGGAACTTTTCTCTAGACCCAGCTACTCCTTCCAGCTTCAGCCTGGTTCTCTCCTACTCTTGCCGTAACTGTATCTGGCAGCTTCATAGACCATTATACGAATTCTTAGGATCTAGAGTCAGCCCCACCAGTGACCTCTGCCTCATCTCCACCATGACCTTCCCGGGGACACTCTCCTGTCTTGGCTTCTGGGAAGGAGGGCAAGTCTGGCTTCCCTCCTATCTCAGTGCCCACAACTTTATCCCTGCCTGCGTCTGCTCTTCCTCTCCAGTCCTGGAATGATGTGTACCCCCCGAAACCAATTTCACGAACCCCTGTTCCTCTCTCTGGGAACTTATCTCTTATCCTGTTCAGACAGGCCCCAACTGCAGGCATATTCTGTCTGCTAGATCACTAGATAAAATCTCTTCCCATTGTGGGTTTCAGTGACAGCCCTGCCACATCCTCATTCTCTCAGGCAAGCAAACAAGAGGCACCTTTGGCTCCCTTCTCCCAGCCTTTCCCTTCATACCCAAGTGGACAGGAAGTCTTCCTAGATCTTCAACTCTGGAGGCATCCCCACTCTGGAGCTCCTTCCTCCAGATCCCATCACGGTCAGGGCCCCTCACCTTCCTCCTCCTAGGTCCATGTGTCTTCAGGTCATCCTGTGCTCAGAGACTGAGGCAGCCCACGGAATTGCTCTTCTTAAGTCGTCACCTGCCTAGGAGGCTGCAGTGGCTCCTCTGCCAACTGTTGCATCAAGTCCAGCCTGTCTGATGCTCCAGCTTCTACCCAAAGTGCCACCCGATCTGTCCATCGATTCCTCTTTCCCTTGACTCCTGACGTAGTCTCTGGCTTCCAACAAGCAGATCTTCTAAGGTTGTCCCCATCCCCTCGCAACACCTGCTCTGTGGTTCCATCTGCTTCTCCTTGGCCTGAACACCCTCTGAGCATCCTTCCATCTCTCATCTCCAGCCATCCTCTGAGCCTTGGCTCAAATCTTGATCCATCTAACTTCTGAAATTAATAATTAAAACATGTTGTCTGTAATCCCAGCACTTTGGAAGGCTGAGACAGGCAGATCATGAGGTCAGGAGATGGAGACAATCCTGGCTAATGTGGTGAAACACCGTCTCTACTAAAAATACAAAAAATTAGCTGGGCTTGGTGGCATGCACCTGTAGTCCCAGCTACTCGGGAGGCTGAGGCAGGAAAATCTCTTGAACCTGGGAGGCGGAGGTTCCAGTGAGTTGAGATCACACTGTCGCACTCCAGCCTGGGTGACAGAGCAAGACTCCATCTCAAAAAAAAAAAAAAAAATTGTCTCTTAGAGTAACACATACTCATTGTAAAACATTTTAAGGAACAGAAAAGCATACACAAGAGATAAAAATCACTTATAATTCTGCCACCCAGAAATTACCATTATAATGTGTATGGATCCTTCAAAGAAATAAATGTGCATGCATATAAAGGTAATATTATTTTTACATGACTGATATTATGCTATTTATCTTCTGTAACCACTATAATATGAAATTTTTCCTGTCCCACTAATTTGTCTTAAAATAGCATTTTTAATACCTGTATAATAGCCTTTCATACAGATGTGCAATTGATTTATTTAGTCAGTCTTCTACTCTAGGTCATTTTGTGGCTTCCACCTTTTCAGCAGTATAAATAACAAATGTCCCTATTTCCTATCTCTAGTCATTTGTTTTGGACATTATATGATTTAGAATTTTTTGTAATGCAGAGGCAAGGTGCATTTATTGAGCTACTGCGGAGTGCCAGCATCTATACTCAGTATTTCCCTTTCTCACATAAGCCTTCAGAGCCTCCTTGCAAAGTAGATAGTATCAATATCTCCAGTCACTTGGCTTCAGTCACCCAGTTGCTAGGATATGAGGTTCAAATTTGGCTCAGCCTTTGATCCCAAATCTAACTGGCATCGCTCTGTCCTCTCGTGATGGTGTTGACAGTACACCGGTGCGCATCTGTGGGCAAGCTCTAAGTGTTAATGAAGGGAAGGGATGGTTTCATTTATTTTATTACCATTTTCCAACTGGGTTATAAGATCCTCCTAGGTGTCTGATGTATACATTAGGGTTAATCTTAGACCTAATCGGAGCTAGAAGGGATTTTCTCATTTTATAAGAAACTAAGAGGTTTAAGAAGTATCTACAGTGTCAGATTGTAAGCTATATTGGACAGCCTACAGTGGACACATAAAAACATCTTCAAAAAGTTATTGTCGGCTGGGCGTGGTGGGTCACACCTGTAATAACAGCACTTTGGGAGGCCGAGACGGATGGGTCACTTGAGATCAGGAGTTCGAGACCAGCCTGGCCAACATGGTGAAACCTTGTCTCTACTAAAAATACCAAAAGAAAAAAAAAAATACCTGGGCGATGTGGCTGGCAGGCACCTATAATCCCAGCTACTTGGGAGGCTGAGGCAGGAGAATCGCTTGAACCCAGGAGGCGGAGGTTGCATTGAGCCAAGATCATGCCACTGCACTCCAGCCTGGGCTACAGAGTGAGACTCTGTCTCAAAAAACAAAAGAGTATTTTCTTTATAATATAGACTTTCTTTTCTGTGCACATGTGTCAGAATCTGTAGCTGTACTGAAGTGCAGTACAGGCTGCCTTGTCCAAGGCTGCAGTTTTGGTAGCCCCTGTACTGCATCAGTGTTGAAGAATCAACTGTGAAGCCCCATGTAGCTCACCTGTGAATTCCTTGATTTACTTCAGGTAGAGCAGAGCTATGAGAAGGCTATAGTCCCAGCTTAGGATTTCATTCCGCAGAGAGTTAAAATCTCAATTTTTCGTTGTCTGTCACCTAGGTCTGTCTTCTTTAGGCAGGTGTTTCTCAGACTGTTTTCAATAGGGCTGGCAAGGGCCCTGTGAATTTCTAATTTCTGATTTCTAATGAGCTCCTGGGGGATAATGATGCTGCTGGTTGCAGCCCACACATTGAAAACCATTGCCTTTGGCCATTAAATATATGTATATATAAATATATATATATAAATATATATATAATATATAAATATATATATATAAATATATATATAATATATAAATATATATACAAATATATATAATATATAAATATATATACAAATATATATATAATATATAAATATATATACAAATATATATATAATATATAAATATATATACAAATATATATATAATATATAAATATATATACAAATATATATATAATATATAAATATATATACAAATATATATATAATATATAAATATATATACATATATATATAATATATAAATATATATACAAATATATATATAATATATAAATATATATACAAATATATATATAATATATAAATA